>NW_009646194.1:0-186494 GCF_000001405.40 Homo sapiens | reverse complement strand
GAATTCAACTAATATTGTAACTCAGCAACCCACCAGATCAAAGTAGGCATCTGGTGTTTGGTCGTGTCTGCCCTGCCTTGATAGGAGATGAGATTCTTTTTCCAGACCGTAGAAAGTTCTCGAGTTTGGGTCCATGCCTTGGGCTAAGGCTCTAGGGATTTTTCATCGCATTTCCTTTCTTTAAGCTGTCTGGTACCATTAAAAACAGTCCTTGAATTCCTTCTGCCCTTAATTCTGTTCTCTGGCACCAGTGGCCTTTGAAGTCTTGCCTTTGATGGGCACTTCATTTTAGGTGACCACAAGGGGCAAACCTTACCCCAGGACTCAGCACCTGCTGCAAACACTTGGCTGATCTCACCCACCCAGTCTCTCCCCACTGCTTCGATGCTGGGCCCACTGGGTGGGCTGATTGTTCAGGATGAAATCCCTGCTTCCCATCCCGTAGTCCCCACTGTTTCAGGGACCCGGGCTCTTTCTGGCAGGAAAAGTTCCCACCCATCCCAATCTTAGCCTGCTAATCCAGCCTGCAGTATCCTGCACATGAACTGCTGCCTCTCAACCCATCCCTCAGCCAGGATGCCGGCACCCAGCCTCACCCCCAGAAGCCAGAGCTCCAGACCTGGCCCAACGAGGCACCAAGAAACCAATCTTGGCAGGCTTTTAACCCAAAACCCCACAGGAGCCGGCTCTAGGGGACACTGTGTGGGCTGAGGGTGGCAGGGGGCGGCACAGGGCAGGAGATGACAAAGCCAGACACAAGATTCCAGACTAGATAAGCTGCTGGGAATGGGGAGGGGGCCTGGGTGCAGCATTCCTGGGCGGTGACGCCATCTCCCTAGCCATAGAGGGCGGCAGGCAGGAGCCTCTGGTTCCCCCCGGGAGGACTCGTCCTTGCCGCTATCTGATGAGGGAGCTGTCGGTTACAGGAAGACAAGACTATTAACAGGACAACTCTGGAGAGCCAGAAATTAACCCACCACGCCAGAGGCGGGAGGTGCTGGGTGGGGTGGATAATTGAGGGGCCTTGCAATTAAGGCAGCTTCAGGTTGAACCAGCCATTCTCAGAGCTGGGACTGGGATCCTAGTCAGCTGGGGGCCCCAGAGGACTTTGGGAAGGGGAGTTCAGTCCCTGCTCCCCACCATTCCTGCTCACCCGGGCCTCACCTCCCACCCTCCATCCAGCCACACATGGAATTCACACCTTTGCTCATGCTGTTCCTCCCATCTGGAATGCCTTTCCTTCTCCACCTCACTCAGTCCTGCTCTTATTTCAAGACCCTGCACAGGCCCTGTCTTATTCAAGAAATTTTCCTGTACCAATCCGATTGGAAGAGATTGCTCTGATCTTGCACAATACAGCCCCTTGATGTTATGGTGAGAACACAGACTCAGAGAGGGGCAGTGATTTGCCCAGAGTCACACAGCAGAACCAGGGCTAGAACTCAAGACTCCTGAATCCCAGAAATCCCAGACTAAGATTCTTTCCACCACATCGTGAGCTCTCCAACCAATAATCAGCCTGAACATCTTGTGCAAAACTCAGGACATAGAATGAACGCCTCCAGGGGTTCAAGGAGGATATGACCATATTTATCAAGCATCTGTTTCATCCCAAATTCTCTGCAGGGATTGGAGCTGCCAAGGCAAGCAGGCACAGAGGCAACCCTGTTCTCAGGGAGCTTGCGGTCTGTGGGACAGAGAAGACTGCCATAGGGTCACCCAAAGGTTTGTTTAGTAATAACCAAGAAAGGGCCCAAAGAAGAGGCCGCAGACTGCCAGGAGCTTGCAGCAGAGGCATTCAACCCTGCCGGGGGCTCAGGACAAGCCTCTCTAGAGATGCTGTGCCTGGGCTGAGATTTGGAGAGTGAGTAGGTGGCAACCAGGCAATGAGGTGGGATGGGAAAGAACACTCCAGACAGAGGGAAAGGTCAACAAAGGAAGTCCAGGATGGCTGGACCTCCAAGTGAGGGGAAGGCGCCCTGAAATCTAACGGGGTCGTCATAGGGCCCAGATAATGCAGGACCTCCAGCAGAGACATGTGTTCTTCCTCCTAAAAGCACTGAGAAGCCCCTGCAGGATTTTCAGCAAGGAACCACATGTGAGCCTGATAAAGTCATTAGCTGCAGTGTGGGGAAAGGGTTGGAAAGGAGCTAGACGAATGTGGGAACCGCCAACAGGCTCCTGCACCAGTCCAGTGGGCAGTCAAGGAAGGAGGCAGCAGGAGTGTGTGAGGATGGAATCTTCTGGGGCTGTGGGTCTGGGGACTAGGGAAGGAGTTGAGGGAGAGAAAGGAATCAAGGAAACCCCACCTGGGTTTCTGGTCTGTGCAGTGAGTGGAGGGTGGGCAGTTACTAGGGTGGGGTAAGGAGCTGAGGGTGAGATAAGCTGAGTTTGAGCTGCTTTTGAGCTACTGCAGCTCAGAGGAGTTAGGGACCGAGAGGTGAGAGGGCAAGTGTAGATGCAACCCAGACTGTGGTGGGTGTGGGCACGAGGTACCTACTCTGAGTTGCACCTTCTCATGGAGCTCCTTTAACAGGGTGTCATTGCTCCATTTTCCAGAAGATGAAACTGAGGCTCAGACAATGGAAAACAGTTTTCCAGGAGTTTCTTCGATAAGAACTTGGTGAAATCAAGATTGGAACTGGATCTGCCTCCCAACACCCCTACCTACTTTTCCCACCTGAAGCTGACCTTAAGATGCCTCCATGGCCTGAGCTTGACCCAGAGAAACCGAGTCAGAAGCTCCTTATGCAGATGGGGCTGCAGGGAGCTCATTAGCATAGGCACTCAGAGGGAACCACTCCCTTCAAGGAAAGAAAGGCAAGGAAGACAGCCTGGAGGTGAGCAGAGTCCCTGTCCCTGTAGTCAAGGCTACTGACCCCCCCAACCCGTCTGCCCATCGCACAAACATGCACTGATGCCAGCTTTGCACTGGGCCCTCTGCTGGGCCCTTCACACCCAAGAGGGGTGCACTGCTCCCATTGCACAGTTGAGGAAATGAAGGCCAAGAGAGAAGACGGTCACAAAGTGAGTTAGTGTAGAAAAGGACCCAGGAGTTTCTGGCTCCAGAATCTCAGCTTGCCCTCTCCAAGAGCTGCAAGGGGTTCAGTGAGCAGCTGGTGGAGGAGGCAGTGAGGGGCCCTGGGCTGCAGGGGGCAGGGGGCCCAGGGAGTGTAAAAGGACAGGAGGGAGGTGGGTTGGCATCTGAGAGCCTTGTAGCCAGCCTAGGATCCACGATAGCATATCTTTGCCTCTTCCCTGCCCACTCAGGCCCAAGGCAGTATCCAGGCGTCCCATCCCCACCTGGCCTGTTGTGTCCAGTTCTCCTGTCAAGCTTCATCTGGGGCATTATGGCCAGAGCTGGAGCCTCTGGTGCCTTTCTTCAGAAGAGACCTGAACAAAGGGACCTCAGACAGAGCCAGCACTGGCCTTGTTGGGTGGGGAGGGAGCTGACTCATGTGGTCTGTGGAAGGGTGCCAATGCCCAGCCCTCAGCCTGGGGAAGCCAAGCCTGGGAGGGAGTGGACCCTGCTGTGTGAATCTCGGGGGTAGGGTGGGAAGGCCTGGCTGTGCAGAAGTGGCCAGTGCCCTGCAGAACCTGAGGGATGGCACGGAAGGGGCAGGGCTTGGAGAGCCAGATCTGGAGGGAGGGGAACGAACTCCAGGGGACAGGCACAAGGCAGACGTGGTCTGGGCCAGCAGGGGGCGCTGCAGCAGCAGAAATGGCCCCATGGCCAGCAGGGAGCCTGCCGAGCCTGAGGTGAGTCAGAGGTTACTCAGGCTTCATGACCCTGGAGCAGGGCAGAAAAAAGCCACCCACTCCACAGACCCGGCTACTGAGGCACAGCCCTAGCACAGGAGACCCACTGTGGGGTCATGAACAGGCCTGAGTTCTCAAGAACAGACTGAGCTTGAATCCTGGTTGCTCCTCTCTGTGTGACCTTGGGTGAGTGACGGTCAGCCCCGGCCATAACACAGTACTGCAGACTTGGCAGCTCGCAACAGAAACTCATTTCTCCCAGCGGTGGCGGCTGGGCAGCCTGGCGCGGGGCCATTTCTGGAGCGGGCCCTCCTCCTGGCCTGCCCTGTACACTCACATGGAGAGAGCGTTCCGGTCCCTCTTCCTCTTGTTATAAGGCCGCGGTCCTGTGGGATTATGACCTCATTTTACCTTCATTACCTCCTAAAGACCGCGTCCCACATATAGTCACATAGAGGGTTAGAGCTTCCATATATGAATGTGGGGGCAGCAGGGGCACAATTCAGTCCGCAGCAGCAACTCCTTTCCTCCAAAGCTCCAGCTGCCACCTCTGTAGAGTGAAGATCCTCAAGGCGCTTGCCCTGTGGGGTTGCGAGGCATTAACGGGATCGTGCAGGTGAGGCCCAGCCTCTGGCACGGTGTAAGCGTCCATGAGAAACAGGCAAAGTCCTCCCCCAGGAGCAAAGCAGGGGTGCAGGCATCTGGACCAGCTCGGGGATGTCCACGTCTCCTGAGCCACACAGGGCAGGGTAGGGACCTGGCTTATGGCAGAGCGGAGCCTTCGGAGCAGGAGGGGGCTCCAGAGCCAGGAAGGCAGGGAGAACACCAGGAATGGGGCTGGCCCCTTGCCAGATCCGCTCCATTTGACCAGCGGACACTTATCAAGCCCCTGCCTCGTGCCAGGCAATGTCAGGCGCAGAGGTTTCAGGGGAGGAGGCATGCTGGTCCTGCCCTCCAGACCCCGGCAGGGGGCACCTCCCGCTGGTGTGTCCTGGGAGCATCTGTCCTGCATTGAGACCGGCTGAGTATCCCCTGGTGTCAATGACTTCTCTTTCCCTGTCATTCCCAGGAAAGCTCCTTTGCTTCAAACTAACCCCATGAGGTTGGTATTGGTGTCCAGCTACAGAAAATGGAAGGCTCAGAGACGTTAAGTGACTTACCCAAGATCACACAGTAGAAACCGAGTTTATCTGATTCCAGAGCCCATGTTCTTTCCAGTGTACACACTGCCTAGAGCTGACTCACTATTCCTTCTCTATGATGGGCCCATCTAGGACCAGAAGGAGGCTTTGGAAGAACCTTCCACAGTGAGCACTTGGGGGTCCTGATGCCCCCTGAGAAACCTCATGTCCTGGGTTTCTGGCTCTGCTGCAGATTGGATGATCTTGGGAAAGTCTCTTGTACCAAGCCTCAGTTTTCACCTCCCTCGGATGGGGCTAGGAGTTCATCACAAAGCACAGGATAGAGCACACCCCCTTCCCCCTCACTCCTCACCTCTACTTGCTCCATTCCAAAGACCCACCCTCAGGATCAGCCCCCACCCAGGGGCAGGCAGCGGCTGTGCTGAAGGGTCCTCCACCTTCTCACGGGCATGGTCCCATGAAGATTAAGGACACAGGCGCCCAGAGTGAGATGCTCTCTTGATGTGCTGGGCACCCCTGGAGGATTCCTGAAGGCCCTCAGCAGACCAGCTCCAGCTGGGGAGAAACAGCATCTGGGGGCACAAGAGACCCAGGACCAGGGGCTACCCTGGCCTGCTCTGGGCTCCTTCCTTGGTCTCTGGACCTTCGGGGCTCCCCTGGCCACAGGGGACATTGCAGACTTGGCCTGGCTTGGAAAGGGCCCTCAGCCCTGGTACACCCAAATAATAATTAAATTCCCTGGTCAAGCCCATTGGATCAGATGAACTCCCTTCATGTGAATATGGACATCAGCCAGCTGAAATGCCACACCCACTGCCCACCTTTTCCCCAGCCCTTGCGCTGAAGATCCTATAGGGGAAAGCTACTACTTCCACTAAAAACGATTCTGTGCTTTGGAAAATACGTGCAAGAGTTGCAGGCAAAAGAACTGCCAAGACGCCCCACAGCCAAGCCTGAGGTAAGACTGTAAGTGCTTTGGAAAGAATTTCTGGCAACCCAGGTACAACATTTTTAACTGAGATGTCCAGTGTTCCTCAGAGAAGGGCAGCATTAGAAAATTCAACATCTGTCAGCCTCACAGGATCTGGCAGTGGGAGAGCCTGCACCCTGGCCATGGTGGCACACCTGGTTCTTGTCTGCATCCAGAAGCAGTTTCGGTTTTAGTTGCATAAAATAGAGGTCTCTCTATCTCTCTCCCCACTGACCCACTATAAAAGTAATGCTTGTTTAAATAAACTTGGTAAATATGACAATAAGGAAAAAACATAGAAAAGTCCCCAGCTCTGTCTCACCCCAAGCGTCCTCGACATTCGCTGACATCCTTTTGTTCCTTTGCTTACCCCTGTGCTTTAGATGGTGCTCTGTCGTCTCCTGCTCAGTACATGTAAGATTTCATGAGCATTTCCCTTTCATTCTAAGTTCTTTCTCCTCCAAGAGGCTGATCCCATGGCTCACAATCTGAAAATTGTTTCCTGCTATTCTGCACAAAGCTGTGATGCATACCTTTGTGCCAAAAGCTGTTCTCAAATTTTAAAATATTTCCTTCAGATTGCTTTTTCAGAGTGGTATGGCTGATCAGATGGGAGAGGAGTGTGGAAGGTTCTAGATCCAAAGACCCTCTTGAAAGGGTGATTCTTTGCACCTGTGAGAGCCAGAGACGGTCACAGGAAAGATGGCCCCTCAAACCGAGAGCCTTCTACAATTTGTCCTTGAAATGGCCAGAGGACATCCCCAGGGATACTCTCCCTTCTGCTGAGGCCCACAAGGATGGGGACGTCACAAGTGGCCCTAGAAAGAGGACTGGGGCTCCTGACCCTGACAGAGGCTCACAGTTGCTTCATCTCAGAAGCAGCAGCCCCATCGGCTGGGGATTTCTCGTGGGGCTTGAAGTCGGTCATGTGACTGTCATTTTTTTGCCACTGACAAGCTGTGTAACCTTGTGCAAATTACTTAACCTTTCTGAACCCATTTCTACATCTGGAGAATGGCTACAATAATGGCACTGGCTTTCCTTGGGTTGCTGTAAACATTAAGTGGAGTGTTGTTTGCAGCACCCTGAGCCCAGGGTTGGCTACACCACTGCGGTGTCCCACGTAAGCAGTGACGCACGCATTGGAACTGCTGTAATGACTACTTCCACTGCATATTCATTCCACTCTGTCCCAGAGCCTTCCACTGACTTCTCAGTCTTCATTTCTTCAGGGTAAATAGGGCTGAGCATGGTTCCCTCCTCCTAAAGTTGTTGGAACGGAGCCAACACGTGTCAACTGCACAGGCTTCGTGGTAGCTTACTCGGCATGTTGTTGGTATCCTCCAGTGGAGGAACTCGCTACCTTTGGATCAGGCTTCAGGGGCAGCCAAAGCCTGTTTCTGGCTCTACAGAACATGCTGGCTCCAACTTCCACAGAACTCCTCCAGTTCCAAACCCCAAGATCCTGGGGTCGCACAGCACTGAGGTGCAGTCCCAGGTTCATCTCTCCCAGCTGTGTGTCCTTGAACAAGTGCATCAGCCTCTCTGAGGAGCCTCAGGCTCCTCATGTGTAAAGCAGGGGCTTCAATCATGGGGTTGTTAGGAAGAGCAAACAAACTCACGAGGCACACAGGAGATGTTCATTATACATGAATTTCCTTTCCCCTGCAGATCCTGAAGGGATTCTGTGTTTACAGGGGAATGAGAAAGATTTAAGAGAAAAAGCCTAAATTCTGGGCAAAATCAAGATGCCTGCTTGAGCAGTGGGGAATCAGCGTTCTCAGCCCTGCCTGCTTCTATCTCTGAGGCTGCTTGGAAACACTGGTTGAGTCCCGGATTCAGCCCCAGCGCCCGACAGTATGGCCCAGAGGCCTGGTTTTTAGCCGCTTCATGGCTCTTCTGCCTCTATGAAGAGAATGGTGATGGGGATGGGGATGATGTCATTGGGCACACAGTTATTAATGCCTGTGTACCAGGCCCTGTGGAAGGCTCCAGGGTTAGAGATGAGGTCCCCACTCCAGAGACCTTCTGTTCTCATGGTGGCTGGAAATAAAGACTGCAAATTAAGGAAGTAAGATGAGCTAAGCTGAGATGAGCTGGCAAGTGAAGGAAATAAACAGGAGGACGCAACAGAACAAGGGAAGGGCTGACTTCCGCTGGAGAGGACATGTTTGGGCGGAGATTTGATGGAGGAGAAGGGGCCCACCAAGACTAGGGGTGCAAAGGTGCTGGGCGGGGAATCAGGCATGATGTGCACGAGAAACAGCAAAGAAGCCAGGGGCCGGGATGTGGTGACCCAGGCTAGTGGGCAGGAGCCAGATCTCCACCGCTCAGCCTGGAGCACAAAGCAGTGGGGTTTTGATGAAAGGATGAAGTGGGGAAAGACAGCAGGTCTGTTCTGTGTGGCTCATGTGGGCAGCTCCAGAGGGGCAGCTTCCAGCTCACCATAAGGCCAGCCTTCCAGATGGACAGAACCATCTAAAGGTGGAAACGGATTCTTCATAAGGAAGTGAGCTTCCCACAGCCAGAGGCATGCAAGCCGGAGGAACAGATTGCTTGGAAGGGAGCTCCGGGTCGCACTGGGCTGCACACATTCATTCACTTGGTCACTCAGTGGACAGTGGACAGTTGTGGATGCTGCTGTGACCAGCCCTGTGCTGGATGCTGGGGTGACTGAGATGGGTCTGTTGTGCCACTGCTTTTGTGGAGGTCATGGCCCAATGGGGAGGAAACCCTGGGAAGAGGGTGGAAAGGATTTGGGGTCATCAGAAGGGGGACAGAGCAAGCATGAGGGCCACAGAGGAAGGAGTGAGAGGAGGAGGACGGGGAGGCGGGGAGAGAGAGGGAGGAGGGAGCATTTGTGGCTTGAGGGAGCGTCATGGTAGACGGGCACGCACAGGAGATGGGTTCCTGGACTCCCCCACCCCCTGGCTGTGTGACTGGCTGCGCCTGCTCCTCATGTGCTAAATGGGAGCAGGAACCCCAGCTGCATGTCCCTCTTGGAATGCGGCTGGCTGTGGCAGGCAAGGGCTCCGAACTTTTGTTGCTGCTAAAGATTCACAGGAATGTTGGACAACCAACGCACTGTGCCCAGAGCAGAGAACTGGGGCAGCCTCGGAGGGGCCTCGAAGTCCTGCTGGGGACTCTCAAGGATGGCCCGCTAGGAGCTCGGCTTGACCTGAGAAGAACCACCACACGCCCCTTCCTGCCCCGGAGGCCTGAGGATGGGAGATGGGTGAGACAGGACAGTGGGCCTCCTAGCCTGCCTCTTGCTGCTCAGCCCTGGGGAGGGAGGCCCATGCTCGGTGGCATTTCCAGAGCCAGTGGGCACAAGGGTGGGAGCTGGGGGCTGGCACCGATCACAGTTCCAGAGCCAACTGCTCATTAATCCACCTCCCACATTGGCTTCAAAATAACTCATTCAGCCTAGAAGAACTGCTGGCCGCCTGCCAGGGAGGGCCCCAGAGGAGGGGCCCACAGAGCCTTCTCATAGGCGGCCCCCCACACTGCAGGCAGGGACCCCGACAGGAGGACAAGAGATGCCCCTGTTCTGAGGAATGTGCCCCTTCCTCATCATGGGGACTTCCCCCACTATGGCTCTGCCATGGACAGGTGAGGAAACTGAGGCTCCAAGGGGACAAGGATGACCCAGCAAATCAGACGGGGGCTGCTCTGCAGTGGGCATGGAGGAGGGACACTTAGAGAGGCTGAAAAGAGGGGGCAGAGAGAGCGCCTCTTGGGGTTCCATTGGCCTTCTGCCAAGAGGAAGACGCTAGCACCCTGCGATCCAGCCAGAGGGGCCCAAGGCTGAGGTGAGGAGGGACTCCAGGCTTTAGGATGAGGCTGCCTCAAATGCTAGAACAGAGTGCTGGGACCTGAGTTCTGGATTCTGAGGTACACGTCTGTCCACCGGTGGCGGGGGCTTGGGCCACCAAGTCCAGTGCTACAGGCTCCTGTCCCTCAGAGAGCTTGGCCACAGCCAGGCCTCTAATAGAATGGTGGCCATGTCTTCCTCCTCCCACCAGGCCCGGGGACAGCCCGGAAATGGCCGGGGCTCAGGACTTACTGGTCAAGGTAGAGCTCGGGCTGAAGCAGGATGCAGCCACTGCCCTCCAGACCCTTTCTGATTCTTCCCATCAGCTGCCAAGCTGGGGAATAGCCCAGGTGCACTGGGGGAAGTAGGTGTGTATGTGCATGTGTGGGCGTCACTCAGAGAAGGCCACAGAACCCCCAGAAAGCAGGAGCTCTGCCCCACATGTCGGGTACAGGGCTGAACTCACTGCCTTCCCCGTCTGCTCCTCTCTCCCACCTCAGAGAATGAGCCCCCGTCAACTACCCGGGTTCCCACAGCAGACACTTGCTGCCTCCTCCTGCCCACCTCCTACATCCAAACCACCACCCAGTCCTGCCCAAGCCCCTCCCAACTCACATCCAAACCACCACCCAGTCCTGTCCAAGCCCCTCCCAACTCACATCCAAACTACCACCCAGTCCTGCCCAAGCCCCTCCGAACTCACATGCAAACCACCACCCAGTCCTGCCCAAGCCCCTCTGAACTCACATCCAAACCACCACCCAGTCCTGCCCAAGCCCCTCCCAACTCACATCCAAACCACCACCCAGTCCTGCCCAAGCCCCTCCGAACTCACTTCCAAACCACCACCCAGTCCTGCCCAAGCCCCTCCGAACTCTCGGAATCCATCCGCTCCTCACCCCCAGCCCACCAGAATCCAGGCCACCACTATCACCCCTTGGGACTGCTGCCAGGTCCTTGTCATGTTTCCCTGCTCAGCATATCCCCTGCTAGCACACACATACACACACATACACACACATACACCCACACCCACATACGCACACATTTATACACATATACCTACACACATATACACAGACATATACATGTGCATACACAATCTATACACACAGCTATATACATAAACATATAGCTACCTATACATATAGCTATATACATACATGCACATACACAATACACACACACACATACACAGACACACATATACACACACATACACAGATGCAATACAGACACATATACAAACACACAAATATACAAACACCTACACACATACACGTATACACATATGCATATGTACAATACATGCACATATACACAGACATATACATATGCATACACACATCTATACACACACCTATATACATACACATATACACAAACACATACACAAATACACACATACATAAACACAATATAGACACATATACACATACACACACATACACACGCATATACACCAACACATATACACATATGCACACACACATGCACACAAACACACATACACATATGTACACAGCAAGTGCACACACACATACTAGCACACACGCTTGCACAAACATATACAAACACATGCCTGCATACACAGATATATATTCACGCAAACATATACACACATACACACACATACATGCACACACATACATACATGCATGCATACATACCACACATACACACATAACACACATGCACACACACACCACACATATCTATACACCACACCAAACACCACACACACCCACACCACACATGCACAGACACGCCACACACAGACACACACAGACACACACACCACACCTACCACACATAGATATACACCACACCACACACACAACACATGCAGATACACCACATCACACACACAATACACATGCACACACACACCACACCACACCCACCACACACACAACATACATAACATAATACACACAGACACACCACACACAGACACACACACCACACATATACATCACACCACACACACAACACATGCACAGACACACCACACACAGACACACACACCACACTTACTACACATAGATATACACCACACCACACACCCACACATACACAACACACATGCACACACACACCACACACACCACACATACCACACATACCACACATAGCTATACGTCATACATACCACACACACGCACATAACACACACAACACACATGTACACACACCACACAGACATACCACACACAGACACACACAGCACATAGCATACATAGATATACACAACACACATGCACATACACAACACACGTGCGCACACACACACCACACACACACACCACACACACCACATATACCACAAATAGCTATATGCCACACATACCACACACACGCACATAACACACAACACACATGTACACACACCACGCAGACATACCACACACACATCACACATACTACACATAGGGCACACCACACCCACACAACACACACAGACACACCACAGCACACACACAAAACACACATGCACACACACACCACACACAGACACACCACATACATGGATATACACTACACAGAGACACCACATACACAGATATAGACCACACATCACACACCACACACGCACCAACACACGCCACACACACACCACACCACGTACACAATTCCATCCCACACCCCCGCCACTCACTCAGCAACCTCTTCGCCTTCATGTGGTCTGGGCAGGGTGCGGGCCAGCAG
The DNA here is from genome assembly GCF_000001405.40 of Homo sapiens. Lineage (NCBI taxonomy): Eukaryota > Metazoa > Chordata > Mammalia > Primates > Hominidae > Homo > Homo sapiens. The sequence goes on along the minus strand of NW_009646194.1, from coordinate 174,100 downwards.
GGCGCCCCTGGGCTGCTCATCTCCACTCAGGTGTTGTGCCCCTCCGGCACAGCCGGCCTTAGCCTGAACCTAAGAAGAAAGGGCAGAGCCGCTTTTTGAGCTCGGGAGGCTGTGTGTCCTGCCAGCGGCACACAGCCCCGAGGCAGCGGCTGGGCCTGAGACACTTGGGCCTGCAGGGGACATCCCAGGAGTGCACCGGGGCTGGCCAGGCAGGGGCCTGTGGGGTGTGGGGCTGGCAGCTGGCAGCCAGCAGTGCCGCCGAACGCCCACTTGCGCCAGCCGCTAGTTTCCAGGGCCAGCTCACGAGCCAGCGGGCATGCTGGGCCCAGACGGCCCTAGGGTGTCCTGCCAGGGAGAGGCGTCCTCTGCGAGGGTGGCCTGGGAGGGGCAGGGCGGGCAGGGTCATCTGACACCTCGCATTTCCTCCAGGCAAGGACACCAGGCTGGCGGCCAGGGCCACCCCCAACTCGCAGTGTGGCCTGAGACACGCTGCAGACTTCCGTACAATCGGGGGGCGGGGGCAGGTAGAGGGTCCAGTGCTGCCGCTGAGCTGACCACCCCTTGTCGGGGATTCCGGTCCCCGGGCGCAGGGCGACGTGCGAGGGGGCCGCGGCCACAAGAGGGCATCTGAGCTTCAACCAGCAGGGAGCCGCGGCCAAGAGGCCTCCAGGTGGGGTTCAGGGGCTGAGAGTAGTTGGGGTTGAACTGGAGCTGAATCTTGCGGGAGGGGGCAGACTACCTGTGTGTGCCCCCAGGCAACCCCTTAGCCACTCTTCATCTCTTTTCATCTGATGGCAGCACTACCTTGCTTCAGGAAATATTTGCTGAGTACACACATGAATGAATGAAGTGAAGGAGGTATTATTAATAATCAGTGTTTTACAAGTAAGGAGGCAGCTCTGTGCCTACAGGGATTTGCCCAGGTCACACAGCTGGTAGGCATGGAGCCAGTGATGCCCCTGGTTCTGTCTGCCACAGAGCTTTGGAGAAAGCACCAGAAACAACCTGTGGCGTTACCAGCACCCAAGTGCTCAGAGCAGGGACAAAACCCTGGTCCTGGGCCCCTCCAGGGACCCCCTCTGCCACAGAGACCAGGCCTCTCTCTGGTCAGCACTGAGTAATAGTAATCACTAACAAGAAGGAACCCACTGCCACACACTTTACGCTCTCATGAAGCATCACTGTGCCCTGGGTTACAGAGAAGGAAGAAAAGAACTTGCCAGAGGCCACACAGCTTCTGGTTGGAACACTTTGGCCCTGGGAACCCACAATCCCCTCACCATGCTACATCTCCTGGAGACTGTTTTCCAGGAAGGAGCTCCTAGCCACGTCTCTCCAACTGTTCATCCGATGCGGTTTTCTCGCCTGCTCGGTGGCGGCAGAGGTAAATGACAACATAGCCCAGCCCCGTAGACTTCACCCAGAGGAGAAGTCAGACAAGACAGCAGGGGACTCATTCAGGGCAACGTGGGCCATTAAGGGCCCTGTGAATACAGAATCCTGATCCATGACACAATTCCATCACTAATTCCAGATTCCCATCAAGAAGCCAAAAATATAAAAACCCTTCAAGCTGCAAGCCAGGACACCCTGCCACCACTTTGGGGCAAGAACCCCTCATCCTCAGCCCCGCCCTCCCTCTCCCCGTCCCTCAGCCACCTCCTCCACTTCCCCGCGCCTCCCTCCACACCTCCACGCCCCCAGGACCTGAGGCCTGACTTGGCCTTCTCCACCAACACCTGCCTTCATCCTGGGAGTTCCCTGGACCCCTGACGACCTGGCCAACCCCCTACTTCTCCCTCATCACCAACAACTCTCTCCCTCTTTTGTACTTGGCCCAGCCAACCCCACCCATGCCATGGCCTGGGTATCCTCACTCAGAACTACCTCCCCCACCCCATATCCTCCCAACCCCATATTGGCCTGTATCCATGGCCCTCCTTCACTTAGCCCTCCTTCGCTCTCTGACCTCATCACAGCACCTTCCTTCTCCTCCTGGGGGCACTTCCCTCCCTCTCCAACCTGGACCCCAAGGAGCCTTTCTATAGCGATAGTCTTGGGCACCCACCCTGCAAAAGTCTCCCTGCCACTCTGCAAAGATGCAACCATGGGATAAACCAGCCGGCCCTCCCCGAGGAGCCCATCTGTGCCCTGAGCCCTGGACTCCACCCTTCCCTCCTCCCATCTATCCCCCTTCTTCACCTTCTCTTTCCCTGCATCAAGAAACATGCTCTAGCCTGGGCAACAAAACGAGACTTCATCTCTACTAAAAATCAAAAACATTAGCCGGGCGTGGTGGCATATGCCTATAGTCCCAGCTGCCTGTAGTACCAGCTACTCAGGAGGCTGAGGCAGGAGGATCGCTTGAGCCCAGGAGATTGAGGCTGCATTGAGCCAAGATGGCACCACTGCACCTCAGCCTGGCTCAGGCACTCTCAGAACTTCGGGAGGCCGAGGTGGGCGGGATCAAGATCAGCCTGGTCGACATGATGAAACCTCATCTCTACTAAAAATACAAAAATTAGCTGGGCGTGGTGGCGGGTGCCTGTAATCCCAGCTACTTGGGAGGCTGAGGCAGGAGAGTCACTTGAACCTAGAGGCAGAGGTTGCAGTGAGCTGAGATGGCACCACTGCACTCCAGCCTGGGCGACAGAGCAAGACTCCCCATCTCAAAAAACAAACAAACAAGAAAAAAAAAAAAACCCTTCTGAAGCCCTACACTTGGCTCCAACCAGGACCCATCTTTCTTCCCCCTTCCCAGCAAAACATATTCCAGGGTTACCTTTATGACCAGTCTCACTCTTGCACCTGCCGTCTGCTTCCCAGGCCTGCTGCTGTCCACCCCGTATTCCACCAAAATGGTTCTTACTGAGTCACTCAACACATTGTTGTTAAATACAGGGAGTGCTTTTCCATTCTCACCCTGACCAAGAGGCAGACAGCCTGACAACAACCCTGTGAAGTAGGTACTGTGATTGATTATCCCCATTTTGTAGAAGGGATACTGAGGCACAAAGAGGGTAACCGATTTGCTTGAAGTGAAATAGCAGGTAAGCCTCAGAGCTTACCAGGCTCCCTCCCCTGAATATCCCAGAAGAACCTCAGACTTGCCACAACCAAAATGAGCTCACTGACTCTGCCCTGACCTTCTTATTCCTGGCCAAGCTGGGCTCTGGATCAGACAATTAGTAGCAGCTGGACCCTGGGCGATTGTATTTAATGCCTGTGAAGTGCTTAGCACAGAGCTCAACGCAGAAATGCTCAATGAAGGCCAGCTTCTATGTGTTGCTATGACACACACATATATACCCACACATATATACAAACATATACATACATGCATGCATGTACACATACACAGACAACCCAGGGCCTGGCCACGCAGCATGCTGGCCTTTTTATACTTTATCAATCAGAGCAGCATCGATTTATAGCCCTGTGTGTTTGGCATGAATGCACTATTTTTCAAAAGCCAAAATAAAACTCCAAGAAGCTGTAAAAACCCAGGAGTTTGGAAGATTCCCTGCAGGGTCAATTAGGGTGAATTAGAACCTACAGATGTGAATCTACCCAACCACATAATGGCAACTTGGGCAGTGCACCTCGGAATGCTAATGAAGGCGGCCGCTGATGGGGAGAGAGCCAGCCTGGCCTTCCCTCTGAGGCCTGCTGGGAGGGGGCAGGACCTTGCCCACCACTGGGCTGTGTGATTGGGACAAAGCTGGGCCTCACTCTGAGCAGCAGTTTCTTCCTCTGGAGATGGGGCTACTATGTACTACTCAGGAGGGGTAAGTTCAAGTCCTTAAGTGAGGACTTAAAATTCTGTGCGCCCCCATTTTCATCCCTCAGGCAAAGATCTCAGGACTTGTGATAGTGGTTACAGTCAACATTTGCTATGTATGACTGTCTCCATAAGACAGAGTCATGCTCCCCTTCTACTGACGGAACTCAAGAGTCCCTGCTTTGGACAAGGGAGACTGCAGGAAGCTGGATCCAGTCTCAGGTATCGCACCTAGGGATGGTTACAACTTTCCTCATTCTACAGATGGAGACGATACCTGACTCACAACACCCAGGATCGTAATCTCTCTACGCATGTGACCCAGGCCCAGCACCTCCCTATGTGGTGAGGTCACAGCTCTGCCCATGGCCCTGCCTGCTCCCTCAGTGCCAACCTGCCTAGGGAAGAACATAGATCTTAGATCCAGAAAGCCCAACTCTGCACGTACAGCTGAGCAACCAGGAACAAGCCTGCCCCCTCTCTCTGAGCCTCATTTTGCCTGTCTATAAAATGAGGATGATAACTCAGGTAAAACACACACACAGTGCCTGGCACAGAGTAAGTGCCCAACCAAGGTTAGACAGTTTAAAGATCCTCACGAGCCCTTCATGAGATAGGATCTATTACCCCCCATTCTGCAGATAAGTAAACTGAGACTCAGAGAGGTTTAGCAACTTGCCAAAGGTCACAGAGCTAAGCAGCAGAAGGAGCAGGAGCTGGGGCTCAAACCAGGTCGGCTTGTCTCCAAAGGGCTCAGGATGGAAGAGGAGTAGATGGGGCCCCAATCCTGTAGGCAAGAAAAGGAAGAGGGAGGGGTAGAGAAGGGAAGGAGGAGAGAAAACAGAAGGGAGGGCTGTCATTGGCAGAGGACGCCCTGGCAGAGGTGAGGCCAGGTGCAAGCAACTGCCTTAGGCAGAGGTTCAGACCCAACAGGCGCCAGTGGGGGCAGTGCCAGGCTGGCGGTGGACGCCCTCACCCTCGCTCTGTTCTCCAGTGACCTTGCCGGCTCAGCCTGTGCCACCAGCATCCCAATGAGGTTCTGCAGGCAGGAGTTTGGGGTGGCACTCCCACATGACAGGACTCAACAGGTCCTCCCCCTGCTAGGAACAGAGTCAGGGTTCTGCTCTCCTCCCCTGGTGGCCAAGTGCCCCCAGGAGCTCTATTTGGGGCCACAGAGGCAGGAGGTGGGCCTGAGCCCCGAGCAGCCAACAGCCTGAGATGGCCCCCAACCAACCCGGGAGACCTGGGGCACCTGGAGGGTGGGTGGGGCCCACCTACAGCTGCCAGGCTCCCTGCCATTGCCTACGGTCCCCGCCCATCTCTGACAGCTGGGAATTCCTTGGGCATGACAAAGTTGACCGGGCCGGGGCTGGGAGCCTGGCCTGGCAGCCTAGGCAGGGTTCCGGTTACAGCTCTGGATGCAAGCTGGCTGTGAGTCCATGGGCACGTCACTTCCCCTCCCTGGGACTCAGCCTCGCCATGGCCAGCGGTGGCAGTGCTGGCCTAGCTAAAATGACTTTCCAGTGCAGGAAATCTCAGAATCTGGATTCACAGAAGCCAGGGCTTGGAAGGAACCTCAGGCTGTGATTTCCTAATACTGGTGTGCAGCTGACAGTGTCAAAATTACCCTGGGAATGTGTGAAAATGTAGATCTAGGGGATCCCCTCCACCCCCAGCAGAGGAGTAGACTGCGGACCCAGGCACCTGCAGATTTGACAAAAAGCATCCCAGACCCACACTCTCGGAGGGCTTCTTGCCACTTCTGCAGAGGGGAGGCTCTTCCAGAGATGGGATGCCCCAGGATCCCTGAGCCTCCCCACATCTTTGCAGCTTCATCCCCTGGGGCTCCTCAGAAACCTAGAGCCGAGTTCCAGCTTTCACTCCCACCAGCAAACTTTCCGTAGAATTCTCTGCCAGCACCTCTCTGTCTAGGTCCTCTCCACCCAGGCCACAATTACTGGCCACTCCCACTTTCCCTCCCACCCAAAGCAGAAGGCTAGGTTTTTTTGTTTTCTTCTTTTTTAATTGAGGTAAGATTTGCATACAGTAAGGGGCACTATTTTGAAGTGAACAGCTCGATGTATTTCTACCTCTGAACCCTCCGGGTCACTACCCCCCAGGCTAAGCTCTAGACCGTTTCACTCACCCCAGGGAGCTCCCATCAAGACCCCTTGCCTTGCCTCCCACACTGTTCTGAGTCCATCACCATGGATGGGATGTGAGAGGCCTGTTTCTGGAGTGATCTGTGCTTTCAGCCCCTGGAATGCAGGCTCCATGAGGACAGGCTGTCCTACTCCTTGCATTGCCTGGCACCAGGCAGGTGCTGGGAAACTGTGGCCCCCTCCAGTGGCTCCCACTGGCTCCTAGACATTTCCCTTCCGCTTTCTCCCTCACACAGCTCAGACACTGACCCCAGCCACGCCCATATCCAAGCTCACACCCACCCTTGCCCCATGCATTTCCTCCAGCGGTGCTTCCCACTTAGGGTGGGGTGGCCCCTAGCTCCTACCCACTGTGGCCTCCCTCACCCCAGAACACTGCACTCATCGTGTTTTGTCTCCTATGCCCGTCCCACACTGCCTCACACATGCTGGGCTTGACAATCGCACTGCCATCCATTAGTCCTACCATACACCCTCATACTCACACATGTGACCATGGGACAGTCACTCCCCCTCTCTGGGTCTCAGTTTCACCATCTGTAAAGTGACACAATCAGGCTAAGTGCATTCTGTGAGCTCCTTTGGCTCTGAAAATAGCAAGTGTAAATACATATTTGTTAGACAAATAAATAGCCCCAAAGAATGGGTCTTCACTGATAGTGGGATTGTAGCATCTGCTGGAGTCATTTTAGAGGCAGAATTCCAAGTGTGGTGTCAAGAGTGCTGGCTGTGGAGCCAACTGCCTGGGTTAAAACCCTGGGTCTCAACTTTCCCATCTGTAAGATGGGGATAATAGTGGGGCAGGGTGAAGACGAAATAGGAGAGTGCACAGAAGCAGTTGTGGTGCAGAGAAGCCTGGCACTCACCTAGTGCACAGTAGAGTTTAGCTCCTACTGGCATTCCCAGGGCCCAGGGTCACTCAGCAAGCCCTGGAGTCCACACCCGCCCAGGACCAGAGGGCAGAGCAAAATGTGGCAGCAGTTTCTGCCGCATGCCACCAGAGGGCACCATGATGCAGCCAAGTGCGCCAAGGCCTCCCTGACTCACCCCAGGAAGACCACTCCTGAGGGAGGAGGGCAGTGCCAGCCAAAGCCTGCCGGCCAGAAGGACAAGGATGAGCCTCCATCCTCCAGAAGGGCTTCCACCACCACAGCCCTTTCTCCAGAAGATGCCCTACACCACCTCAGCCTGACATTCTGTCCATTTCTATCACAGCCTGTGATCCACAACAGCCTAGAGAACACGGATACTTCCTACCAAAGCCATTAGACCCATTTCACAGATGGGGAAACTGAGGCCCAAGAGAAGGCAAGATCAGCCCCAGGTCATGAGTGAATTTTTGTCTTCCTGTTCAGGCTGGCTTCCCTGCACACCCCCTAAGCATCCGTGGTATGACTCCCAACCGAGGCTGGGGTACCAGCACCTACGCTGCCTCCCTGGCTCCCTGAAGGCTGCAGGAGACAGGGGAAGCCACAAGTGTGAGGGTGGGGAGGCCTCAGCATAAGGGATGGAGAGAGCCAGGGGGGCGGGGGGCAGAGGGAGGCAGAGCAAAGCAACACGGGAAACAGGGCGGGGGCACGAGAGAGATGTGGGAGAGACATTCGGAAGAGACGGGTGGGACAGGAAGAGAGATAGACGGACAGACAGAGAAACCGAACCCTGAGGGAGAAGTGGGGGAGTGAGGGCGGCCGCAGGAGGCAGAGGAAGGGAGAAGGGAGAGCTCCCAGATGCAGGGAGCACACTAGGAAGAGAGATGGGGACAGACACAGAGAGACGGCTGGAAGGGGAAGAGGAAAACCCCTCCCCTCTCAGCCCCACAGCCCCCCACACCCCAGAAGCTTCACCCTTGGCTGGAGGAGGGGACCCTCTTTCCCTGTCCTGGGGGCTAAGCCCAGGCTTGGCACTCGCCCTCTGCTCCGCCCCCACCCAGCAGGTTCCTCAGCCAGACACCTGGGGATGGCGGTTGAGCTGGGCTCCCTGGGGCACCTGAGGCAGACAGGCAGGGTCCCCAAGGCCATGTTGCTAGGAGATGCGGCCCTAGGGCCCCAGCTTATCTCCTGAGCCTCTTCCAGGGCAGGGCTTGGGACTCACCTGGGGCACCAACCTCCCTGAGCTCCCGCCCCACTCAGCCCTGGTGGGCCCCTGCTGGGCATCCTACAGGCCCCTGTGCAGTGAAGAGGCACCCTTCATCCCTCTCCCTAGCCTCCGAAGGCAGAGGGAATGATACTTGGTGAGCACCTGTGGTTTGCCAGGCCTCACCAACTCCCAGCACCCTGTCCTGTCCTGTCCCAGCCACTGGGCCTGGTGTGCTCTTGAGAGACACTAAAACCCAGAGAGGCTGGTTCAAATTTCCACCTGCCTTTTACGAGCTGTGTGACCTTGGGCAAGTCACATACCTCCTCTTCTCCCTCATCTAAGGATGAGATCAGCAACCTCATCTTTAAACAGGGACAGTATCTGCTTCATAGGGTTGTCCAGAGGAGGAAAAGCCACAGTGGGAAGAGGGGACAGGAAAGGCTGGTTTCTATCACTGTTCCTGTCCCTGAGCCTGCAGGGCTGTGGCTGGGGGCACCTCCCAGCACCTCCCCAGTCAGCCCTGTCCTGGCCCTGCTTTGAGCCCAGTGATTCACAGCAGCCTCTAGGGAAAGGGCTGCCCTGACCTCTCCCCAAGGCACTTGGACAGACACAATGAGGGATAAACCCTGGGGCACAGGCAAAGCCACACCCTTGTCCCTCTGTTCTGTTTTAGGGACTCAGGTAAGAGCAACTTACCTCCCAGGCCCTGTTTTAAGCACCTTAGCAAACCCACAAGGGCACCTGGTGCTGGTGTGACCATTATCCCCATAAATGGATGCTCAGAGCTATGCCTCTGCACAAGCTCCCCAACCAGGAATAGAGGGGCTCTGGTGCTTGGACCCAGGCTGACAGCTTCAAGAGCCCCAGCCCTTAACCTCCAGGCCTCAGTACCTGGAAAACCCAGAGAGAGGGTCTCACAGGGAGAAGCAGGAAGGTGGAGGCTGGGCCAGGGCTCCTCCCCGATGCTCCCATCCCAGCTCTAGTGCCTGGCTTGGACATGGCAGGTGAGAGGCCTGGAAGGCAGTGGGAGGACAAGTCCACGGCCAGACTCAAGCTTGATTTATTGTTTGCGCCTTCAGGCTGGCTTGTAAATCTCAGGCTGCAGCACCGGCCAGGCCCCTGGCAGGCCACAGGGGACAACTCCAGGAAGCCTCAGAGCATGCCATCCAGTGGGGGAGACTTCGCTCACCCTGCCCCAGAGCAGTCTCTTGGGGGAGACCCAAGAACTGCCCCAGGCATCACCAGGATACTCTGGAGCTCAAGGACCTGTGGCTATGCCTAGGGTGTCCAGCCCCGAGCCCCTTACCCAGGCCCTCTCCATGCCTTCACTCCACTTTCTCATTCCCCCCAGCCTCAGCAGGGACAGCACATGCAGTGTGGCAGTCGGGGCTGGGTGGGGGGGCTGCTGTTGGCAGCTGTGCCCAGGCCACTCCAACCTGTATGTCTGTCCAGCCATGCCCATGGCTATATGGAGATGGATGCCTGAGGTCAAGGCCCACCTTGTCCTGCTCCAGCCCCATGAACCCTGCAAGTCCCTTGACCTTTCACTTAAAAATTTAACAAGATGAAAGTGGCCAGCATTCACTAGGCAGTCTTGGTCAGAAGTGGTCCTCCACAGATGCCAGCTCCCTTCCTCCTTCCTTCAGGGGCACCAGGCACCCAGCCAGCCTGATCTCCGTTCGCTTCATGAGACACCAGGCCCTTGGCTAGAAGCTCTCTGACTGGGTCCAGGGAGCTAAAAGGAGAGAGAAGCAGAGGGCAGGTGATGTGCCAGCCTGGGGGGTGGGCACTGGTAACCATATGTCCGAGCAGTTCCATGCCAGGTGTGTAATATCTCTTTCTACCAGCATCAGCCCCCTCCTGCTCCTGGGGCTGCAGCCCTTTGGGGTCTCCTGGATTCACCTTCCATCCCTCCATACAGGCACACCCGCCACCCTCCAAAATGAGTTTAGATCCTGGCTCAGGCCCTTTCTAGCATTGTGAGACATTGTGCAAGTCACAGGCTATGTGTGTCATTGATGTAACACTGAAGGAGCATCCGAAGTGCAGTTATGACCTGGGGACATGTGAGGCCTTGGGTCTCAAACTGCGTGAGAGACTGGGGTAGCGGGGGAGGGCATGACCCGGCCAGTGTGTACGTGTGTTTGTGCACACCCACACATGCATGTGAGTATGCACAGGTGTGCGGGGCATGTGCATGTGTGCTCACATGTGTCTGTGCACATGTATGCTGTATGCTTGTCACATGCATATGTACTTGCATACACACTCATGTGCATGTGTGTGCAATATGTATGCATGCGTGTATCCTTGCGAGTACACCTATATGCACACTGCATACGTGTGTGTTTATGTGCTCTTGTGTGTAGTTGTGTGTGTATTTTTTGTGCGTGTACTTTTTGTGCATGTGCATGAACGTGGGGGTGCAGCAGATCTCCCTGGCTCCTCTGAATCCCTCTTCCCTTTGATTCCTTCCCTCCTCCTCCCTCCATCCCTCTTCCTTGGCCCCGCAGCCAGATATGTAGACAGCCCAGGCTGGAGGCAAGGGTGAGTGGGAGATGATCACGCTGCACCACTCACAAGGACCCTCTAATCCTCTTAGCTCCCACTTAACCCCACAGCCCCCTGGTGGGAGCAGCCCCTGCCTGCTCTCAGCTGGCCTGGGGCACCGAGGCAGAGCAGTGGCTAATGGGCGTCCAAGCCAGCCCCCAACCAGTTCATTAGCAACGATGAACCCAGCAGCCTCGTGGGGGTTGGGAGGGTCACTTCTCAACCACTAAGACCCTTTCCTATCCATTATATCTTTTGATCCTGACAACTTTCTGCAAGGGGATTTTAATGCCCTTTTGACAGTGAAGGGCACTGAGGCTCAGAGAGAGAGAGGCTTCCTTGAGGTCACACAGCAGGACAGTGCCAGAGTTGGCTTAGCTCAGGCGTCACCCACACCTGAGGCCACAGGGAACAAGAAATGCATTGGGATGCTCCCCAGGGGAGGCTCATGATCCTAGGGCTCTGACATTTTGGGGTCTCCTCTCCACCAGAGCTCTGGGGCCCCAAATTCCCATGCAGTCCCCTTTCCACGCCCCCTGCCTCCACCCACACCCGAGTTTCCTGGCAGCAGCCTGCTGAAAGACCTGCCTTATCTCTGTCCTTTGCAAGGTCTGCCTGTTCATCCTGTAGGGCGAAGGGTCCTGCTCAGGGCCATCTCGGTGACAGTCCAGCCTGCATGCCACTCCCCATGTTTTCCTTTCCAGAGCCACGTGGGGTCACTTGCTATGCAGCAGGCAGACTGAGGTTAGCCTGGTGGCAGGGCAAGCCCAGACCGGCCCTGGCCTCTCCACATCAGCCCCTTCGCCCTGCTCCAACTCGCTCAGGGCACCCCTGAAGGTCCACTGCCCCAACTCACCCCTCCTAGCCAACTCTGCACACTGGGGTCCCTGTGCTTGGAACACCCTTCCCACCCTGTCACCCAAACTCTTTGTCTGCCTGACTTCTTCAGGTCTAGACCTAAATGTCACTGCCTCAGAGAACATTCCCCAACTACCTCATCTAAATGAAGTGTTTTTGTTATTCTCCTACAGGCACGTTTCACAATTTGTACAAACATATGTCTTTATGTCTTTGTTGGTCTACCCCACTTGATGGTAAGTTTCATGCATGAAGTCAAGGGACATGTATGTCCAACATTGGTCCTGGAGATGCCAGACACATAGGAGATTTTTGGTAAAACCTTGTTGAATAAATAAAGAGTGGAGAGATGAACCAGCAAGATGTGCCTCCTCCACACCTGCACAGCCAAAGAGCTGCATGGTGGGGAGGGTGGGAGATGCTGCCCAGGTCAGGCGGAAGCAGCCCTGGCTTGGTGCTCATACTCCAGGGACAGGCTAGGGAGGAGGTCCCACTCCCCAGCCAGCTCTCAGAGAGGTTGGCCAGTCCCTCAGCCTCCCAAGTGAGCAGGGGCTGAATCCGCCTCCTGATGGCCTCTCCTTGTTTTTTTCTTTTTCTTTCTTTCTTTCTTTCTTTTTTTAGACAGTGTCTTGCTCTGTGGCCCAGGCTGCAGTTCAGTGCCACGATCTCGGCTCACTGCAACCTCTGCCTCCCAGGTTCAAGTGATTCTCCTGCCTCAGCCTCCTGAGTAGCTGGGACTACAGGTGCCCACCACCATGCCAGGCTAATTTCTGTATTTTTAGTAGAGATGGGGTTTCACCATGTTGGCCAGGCTGGTCTTGAACTCCTGACCTCCAGTGATCTGCCCGCCTTGGCCTCCCAAAGTGCTGGGATTACAGGCATGAGCCACCACACCTGGCCTGGGCCTCTCCTCCTTCTAGGCCTTCCAGGAAAGAAGATCCCAGTCCCCCAGGCCTATGTAGACTCCACCATGTAGCCCTGGTCATGGCCCAAACTTGCTACGTGCCCCTGAGTGAGTCCCCACCCATCTCTGGGTCTCAGCTTCCTCATCCAAAAAACAAAGGAGTTGAAGAAGATGACCTCTGTCTGTAGTAGCAGCTTCCAAGAAGTCCCCGGTGCTTGTCATCACCTGGTAGTTGCATCCCTGTGTAGTCATTGAACAGAGCTGATCTTTGTACACAATGGGATATTATGAAAGTGACAGAGTGTGGCTTCCTAGGCTAGGTCGCAAAAGGACAGTGAGGCTTCCGTCTCACTCATTCTTAAATCACTTTCTCTGGGGGAAGCCAGCTGCCATGTTGTGAGGAGACTCAAGCAGCCCAGTGGAAAGGAAATGAGGCTTCTTGCCAGCAAGCTGCTCCAGCCTGCAGGTGTGTGATGAGTCATCTTAGAAGCAGATGCTTTCACCCAGGTGAACCTGCAGATGACTGCAGTCCCAAGCCAATATCTTTTCTCCATCCATCTTCCACACTGACTGCTGGAGGGAGGACTTTCTAAACTATAGATCCGGGCTGGGTAGAGTGGCTCACACCTGTAATCCCAGCAATCCCAGCACTTTGAGAGGCTGAGGCAGGCAGATTGCCTCAGCCCAGGAGTTCAAGACCAGTCTGGGCAACATGGTGAAACTATCTCTACAAAAAAAAAAAAAAAGAAGAAAATTAGTGGGGCATGGTGGCACACACTGTAGTCCCAGCTACTCAGGAGGCTGAGTCAGAAGAATCGCTTGAGCCCTGGAGACTGAGGCTGCACTGAGCCAAGATCGTGCCACTGCACTCCAGCCTGAGCAACAGAGCAAGACCCTGTCTCAAAAAGATAAAAATTAAAATTAAACATAGATCTGATCATGTTGCTCCTGCTCTAGAGCCTTCCATGGCTCCCTTGTTGCCTACAGAATAAGGTCCAAACCCCTTGGACTGGCATTTAAGACCTTTTATCATTGCCCCCAGTTACCTCTCCAGCCTGATCTCTAGTTTTTGTTTGTCTCAACTCTAATATCCCACTAAGACTGAACCACCTCTAATTTCTGAACACAAGAGATTTTCATGCCTCTGTGCCTTTGCTCACACTGTTCTCTGTATCTGAATATTCTTCCCCTTCTTTGCCCAGAAAACTCCTACCAATATGTCAAGACCCAGCCATTCTGATCCACCACAAAGCTCTAGTATCTCTCTTGGCCCCACTGCATCTTGTTGGATTGCACTGATCGGTTTATATGCCTTGCACCCCACTAGACTGACAGCTCGAAAGCAGGATATGTCTTTCTCTGTATCGCCAGTGCTTTGCTCAGTGGCCAGTATACAAAGCCCATACAAGTTCTTAAAATGGAAGACCTTTAGGTTGACCTTTAAAGTCAATGCATTTAAAATCCACTTTGAATGGATATATTGCTAAAAGGTATTATAGACTCCCCTGCTTTTTAAAAACAGTACATGGGACATGACTTAACCTTGTCTGATTGTATGATTTGTGTCAATACAGATGCCGAGCTTTTGTGAAGGAGCCTTGGAGATCATCCAGTAGTGGAGGGATCTCAAGGCTACAGAGATCAAGTAACTTCCCAGGAAAGCAGCTTGTGGGATGATCTTTAATTAATGTCTGGGCTACAGTAAATGATGCTTCCTGCTTTACTGAAGAGCTTAGAGCCCTTGCCTTGCCCCTGCAGTAAATGGCCCCAAAGTCCGTGTTCTTCCAGTCTTTCCGTGTTTTTATGATCTTCCTGTCTCAGCTTGTCACTGTACCCATGTGTTTGTTCCCACTTTATCCTTCTAATTATTATTCCTGACCCACTGGAGGCAGGAACACCAGATAACCGAGTTCATGGAGCCATGTGGAAAGGAAGGGTTATGATTCCGGACTTAGATCTGGGAGTGCCTTTCCCATGGGGAGCGTGGCGTGAGCGCAGGGGCTCTGCATACCCTCCCATTCTCTGCTGTACTCCAGGTATGAGAGGTGCAGGGATAAGAGATGGAAGGGAAGGGGTTGTTCAATTGGGTGAAATGTTCATCAACAGAGCAATCCTACAGGCAGGTGACCCCATGCATGGGCAGGTAACTCCACAAGGGAGGAGAAAGGGGTAGACTCTGGACCTATGGGTTCTACATGAAGGAAACACCCCTTCCCACACACTCCCACCAGAGGCCAAATGCCTGGTGTAAGGGAAAAAGGGAAGAGTACCACTGTACGGGTGGGGATGCAGGAATAGCTCAGGCCCCTTACGGATGGGGGCAGGAGGGGGAGCAGTGAACTAAGACATGTGGATTCAAGTCCCTCCACTATTAGCTGCATGTCAAGGAACAGCTCAACTAACCCCTCTGGGTTTCAGCTCCAGAATCTATAAAATGGAAGTATTTCTTACATCATGGTGCTGGAGGGAAGATAAAGTAATATAGATGTAGGAACTTGGTAAATGCCAAAGTCCTGCACAAGAGAACATGATCTTCATTCATTCATTCATTCAACAAATATCTACTGGTCACCTACTGCATGCCAGGCCATGCTCTAGGAACTGGGGATAGGGTGGCTAACACAGCAAAGCCCCTGTTCTCACGGAGAAAGAAAAATGAATGAGAATGTATTAAGTAATGGATCAGTCAGATGGGCAATGTTTTTGATCAGTGGTGTAAAGCCATGAAAAATTGTTTCTCGCTCACATTGCATGCCCTTTGGGGGTTCCCCGCAGGGGAGTCTGCTCTATGTTGTCTTCATTTAAGGGCCCAGGCTGAAGGAGGCTCCATCCCCAACTTCCACAACAGGGAACAAGGCAAATGGCCCAATCGTTCCAAAAGCCCCATCCGAAGCCCTGGAAATGATACAGGACACGTCTGTCCTATTTCACTTTCCATCACAAGTCACACTCATCTCTGAGGGGAGGGAAAGTACAGTCCTACTCATACCCAGAAGATAGGGAGCAGGACGTATTTGGCAGAAAGCACTAACGCCCACCATGGATAGATTCATGAATCAGTACCAGGAAGACAAATAAAATAGCGTAAGGAGAGGGAGGGCTGATACTTATTGAGATGAGGGCCTGGCTGAGTCCCCCTGGGAAGGTGACATTGGAGCAGATATGTAAATAAAGTCAGGGAGCAATCCTGTAAGAAGAGCCTGGAAGGAGGAGCAAGTGCCCTGGGGCGGGCGGAGAGTAAGGAGATCAGTAGGCTGGAGCAATGGGCCAGTGGGAAGGACAGGAGAAAGAGGCATTTGAAGGGGAGATCATGAGGGCACGTGGTTGGCCACAGTGGGGCTGGGCTTTCCACGAGTGAAATAGGATTCGTCTGTTGTCACAGGGTGGCTGGGGGAAGCAGCACTGTTCGTGAATAAATGCACAACTGCTACGCCCCTCACTAGTTGTGTGACCTTGGGCACATCACTTAACCTCTGTGAGCCTCAGCTTCCTCACCTGTAAGTCGGGGGTTATAAGAGGGGCCACCTCCCAGGGTTATTGAGATGATAAAATACTTAGAACAGGACCTGCCATTTCATGAGTACCATAAAAACATTCGCTATTACTACTATCACTTTCCCCCTCTGCCTGGGGACGTCCTTCCCTTCTCCTCTTTCCTCTCTCCCGGTTACCAGTTACTGGTAACCAGCCTCCATCTCTAAGATTCAGTTTTGGATCTTATCTTCCCTGTCTTGCGTCTCAGAGCCCGAGAGACCTGAGTCCCTCTCCATCTCTCAGTCCCTGTGATCCTCCTCAAGCCTCAGCTTCTGCATCTGCTAAATGGGATCTATCCCCCCACCCCCCACCGCCGCCGACCTGACTGGGCTTTGAGGAGGCCGAGCTCACAGTTGAGCTCAGCTGGGTGCTCCCCGTGTGGCTGCTGGGTGGATTCCTGGCTGCCTGGGCTCCCCTCCCCCACAGGAGGCTGGGGAAACTGGGGGCCCCTCCTCTACACTCACCCACCCCAGCGCTGGCAGCCAAGCGCTCCTGTTGGCATGAGCTGGCGCCTCACCCAGGAGGGGAGAGCAGCTGCGGGGATGGTGGGAGAATTCCTCCCGCTGCTGGATTTGTCAAACAATTGATTAAAGACAATGCAATTAATTATTCCTTGATGAAATAGTGGAAATTACCCAAGAAAATGAAGATTTCAGCAGCAGAACATTAAACCCCTCTAATTATGTCATTTCTGAAAAAGGGAGAGGGGGATAAAATGGATGGAAATGGTGGGACAGAGGGAGGAAAAGAAGTTTTAAAATAGATGGGTTGACCCTGGGGGCTCCATGCAGGGTGAACATGAGAAGGATGGATGGAGCCACAACCCTGGATCTCCACCATACTGTTCACAAGGAAAGTCTGCCATGACAGAGCTCTTTCAGGGGACTAGAAGATGCCTGGAAAGCCAGACATTGGGATACTTGCCTGGGGTGCATCAGTTCATTATCCTCACTACTGAATCCCAGTGCCTTGTTCCTTTCTGTGAGACAACAGGGCTCAGAGAGGTGGCATGATTTGCCCACGGAGGTACAACTCTAACCAGTAGAGACAGGACTTGAACTCAGATCTAACTCCAGGAATTGTGCTTTTAAACCCCACCTGGTTGGAGTCCACAGCAGTAGGCACTGCGGAAGCCCTTGGCAGAAGCTGCTCTGACAGCCAGCTCCCCAAGGGTCTCAGTGGCCCACTGAACCTCAGGGCTGGGCATGGGGCGTAGGTGACTGCCAGGTGCTGACATCTCTGCCAATGCCGACGGAGCCTGAGGCCCCCTGGGAAGGGATCTTTCTAGCCCTCTGTCCTCTATGATTTTTCTGGATGTGCTTTTGCAAGGCAGGGAGGGGTGGCGAGTGGGATCTGTCCAAGACTTGGCCCAGCCATCTCTCCCAGGGAGCCCCAGATACTCCGCTGAGCCCAGGAGAAGAGCTGAAGGCCTAGATTCTAACCCGCCTCTGCCAGGAGTATAGCTGCAGCATCGCCTTAGGAAGTTCACTTGCTTTCCTGGGCCTCAATCTCCCTATCTGTAACAGAGGCTATTGGACCATTAGATATATTGGTCCATTTGTGAATACGGGACCCAGCCTGCCCCAACTTCGAAGGTGAACTCAGGTCCAAGAAGCCAAAATCAGCTCTAGAGTGGGCAGGGGGAGAAGAGGAAAAAGGGAGAGCCACCTAGGGCCAGTGGAGGAGTGGCTGGGGGATTTGGGGGCTGGATGGAGGAGCAGGGAGGGAGCCGAAAGGAGCCCTGTGGGGGGCAGTGGAAGGGGAGAGGCAGCCACCCCAGGATCCCTCCTAGTTTAGGCTCAGTCCTGGGAGGAAACAGGCGAGGAGTAGCGGGAGGGCGAGGGGCCTGGAAAGGGGTTAAATCGCCACCTCTTCAGGACACCCACCGAAGGGACCAGCTTACGGGAATGGCTGGCCCTAATAGGGCCAGATGGGAAAGCCCCTTGATTCTTCCTCAGCACCGCCCAAGATGCTTCTTCACAGCTTGCTCTTGTGGGTCCTGCTCCTGGGGCAGATCCCATCATTTTTCTGGGCACTCTCAGGCACTGTCAATTTCATTTTGATGAGTTAGAATTTCCAATCTCATCTAGCATCAAAACTTCAATGTCTCATTCAATCTAAAGAGTCCTTCCTCTCTCTAGCCCAGGCCTGGCTACGGCTGAGAAAGCTGAGGTGATGGGGCTGGGAGGCCTGGTCCTCCAGGAAGCTTAGGGCTTAGGGGTCCTCTCTGCAGAGCACTCCTTGTGGGACCTCTGCAGAGCCCCTCACTGAGATTCTCAACCGGCATTTCCCTGACGTGGGCAATGGGTCTGCAGCAGAGATCACCCCACTGTTCCTGCCCCAGCTCCTGTTTCTGGGGTTCTCTCCACTCAGACTCCAAGAAGTCACCTCGCAAGGCAGGTAGAACCTTCTGTGCAGTGTGCCTCGTCCACTCTGACCCACGGATACTCTGACCCGTGGAAGAACCTGGGCTTGGTGGAGTCTGGGCTCCAAGCCACCACCCCCATCTAGACTCTTTTCAAGCCAGGGGCAAATTCTAGGGAACACTTCTGTCAGCTTTTGCCAGTGTTTCTCCTGAAGCACCACCCCTCACCCAAATTAAGGTGGGAGTAGTTAGGGGGGCACACCCCACCCCTCCCCAGGTAGAGCATACTGACCAAGGAATCCTTGTTGTCTTTCCCCTCCCCACACTTGTCACTCTCGCCTACCTTAAGGTAGCATAGAAGTGTGTGCCATGGGCCACACCAGCTTGAGGTCATCAGTCTTGCGAGGCCTGAAGAGATCTGCCTCTCACTTTAGAACATGGGGGTTTGGGGCACCAATGACTCTCAGAGGCAATTCCAAATGAGCAGTGTTCCATTCGGACGTCCCGTTGTGAATGCAAACCACTGCTCTTCCTGCTAACTCAGACTCCTTCTTTGGCCACATCCCGGTCCCTGTCACCTATCCTAGGCCCAGCCCCAGCCCTCTCCCTGGGACAGGACAATAGCCCCATATGCACTGTTGAGCAACACCTCACCTCCCCTCCAGCCATCTCAAAGTTCCTGGGCAAGGGAATGTGGCCTGGAGCAGGGCCGAGACCCGCCAGGGTCTCACAGCCTGCTCTAGAACTGTGACCCAAACCCAGGCACCAGAATCGCAGAGCAGCGCTCCTTCCAGGGGCTCGCCCCCAGCCTTCACCTCTCTGGTAGGGGTGGGCTGACTAGATGGAGGGGCTGAGCAGGGAGGAGTCCCTCCCTCTCTAAGGCAGCAGCAAGGGTTCCAGCAAGAACAAGGTTGGGAGCCAGGTGGACCTGGGTTTGAATCCTTGTGCTGCCACTTTCCAGCTGTCATTTCTGAAGCACAGTCTCCCCTCTGTAAATGGGATATGGTGACACTCAGCCACAGGGCTGCTGGGAAGACTGACTGAGAGAAGGTCCCAGCCAGGCTCTGGCACAGAGCAGGTTAGCTCCCTCAGGACCCTCCCGCGAAGAGCCCCTCCTCCCTCACTAGGCTCTGTTCCAAGACCAGAGACCAATTTTCTGACTGCACTGGGTCTTGAACTTCCCATTTATGCCAAGGAAAGAAAGGCTGTGGTGTGCTGAGGGCCCTGGGAGAGTCTTTGGAACCGGGGTGGGGGCGTAGCCTAGATGGGAAGGGCTGCTCTTCCTACCCATCTGCTCCCAGACCCCTCCCACCAGGGACGGCACTCCAGCCCCTCCCCCAGCTCCCAGCACAGATGGCAGGAAGGAAATGCCAAGGCACGGAGGCAGGGAGGGGCCACCCAGCCCCCAGCGGCTGCAGCCCTTGCCAAGCTTCCCACAGGAGGAAGAAACAAGCCCCCTCCCTCGCCTATGGCACTGCCCCTCAGAGAGCCACAGCCCACTGATGCCCTGGTGCCTCGCATCCTGTTGTCATGGTAACCAGGACTAGCTGACGTGCCGACAGGCAGACCAGGAGCTGCTGCCACATGAATCACTTGAACTTGATGTGACAGACACAGGCAGGCGGGCTGCACAGGGGTAGAGGGAGGTGGTGCCCTGTAGGCAGGGATCCTGGTTGGGCAGGGGGAGTTCGGCTGAGTCCCTCCAATCATGACAGGCTTAGGGGCACCAGAAACCTGTGAGACCCCAGAAGTTCCCACTGAAGGCAGAGCCCCTTGGACCAGCCATGCATGAGTCCCCTCCAAGCTCCCATTTCCTCATTTATAAGATTGGGAGAATGAACTGAGTGGGAAACATCAATTAAAATAACGGGCATGGGCTTGCTTTGTAAATTCAAACGTGACACAAATGCTGGCTGTTCTGGAAAGCACAGAGGCTCTCTCCTCACACACACCCGGGCTTCAGACCCCTTGCTGCTATTTGTTGGTTCTGTGCCAGCCCCAACTTTCTGTTCTGTGGAATGGGGATAATTTGCCTCCCTGCCTGGTTTCAACTACTCACTTAGTCATGCAATAAAAATTCTCAAACCCATCTATGTACCAAGTGCTATGTTAGGAACAAGGCTGACCCATTTCCTGCCCTCACTGAGCTTACATTCTAGTGAGAGGGGCAGACTCCAAGCAAGGAAACAAACAAAATAACTTGGGTTGTAATGATGCTGTGATGAATACAAACAAGAGACAGGGTCACAGAATAACTGGGGAGAAGGCTTACTTTAGGAAGGAGGATCGGGATGGACTCTGTGAGAGCTAAGCAAAGAGAAGGAGCTGGACTCTCCGTGAGGGGAGAGAGCTCCAAGCCCAGGGAAGGACAGGGCCAGTGTCCTGGGGAGGGAGAAAAGGGACTGTGTTGGAAGTACAGGAGGGAGACCACCGTGGATTTAGCAGGGCAAATGGGTGTGTGTGAACGGGAGGTTTTATTCCAGATGCAATGGGAGGTGGAAAGTCTTGGCACTTTAAGAAAAGAAGCAATGTGATTTGATCTCCATGGGCATGCTGAGGACACTTGTGCTGGCTTGTGGAGAATGCACGTGCTCAGGGAACAGCCCAGGTAGAAGTCACGGCAGAGGTTCAGAGCCGCGATGAGGATGCTGTGAGCCCAGGGCAGTGACAGAGATGGAGAGAGGTGGTCAGATTTGAGATAATTTAGGGAGACAGAATTGCCAGGACTCATTCATGGCCTAGACATGGATGGTAAAAGAAAGGGGAGAGTGTGACATCTGGGTCTCTGATTGGTTGTGGTGCCTATTTCTTTTTTCCTTTTTTTTTTTTTTTTTTTGAGACAAGGTCTTGTTGTTGTGTCACCCAGGCAAACACAGCAGTGGTGCAAACACAGCTCACTTCAACCTCGACCTCCCGGGCTCAAGCAATTCTCTCACCTCCACCTGCTGAGTAGCTGGGACCACAGTCAAGCACCACCATGCCTGGATTTGCTTATTTTTATCTTTATTTTTTAGAGATAAGATTTCACTAAATTGCTCAGGCTGGTCTTGAACTCCTAGGTGCAAGCAATCCTCCCGCCTCGGCCTCCCAAAGTGCTGGGATTAGAGGTGTGAGCCACCGTGCCTGGCCTGGTGCCTACTTCTAAGATTGGGAAACAGGAGTGATTTGTGAATCATCTTTAAAGATGGGACTTTAGCCTATGGGACTTCTCTCTCCAGGGGAGGAACATTCATTGGCTGCCCTTTGCCTTCACTCTCTGGAGGGTTGCCCTGGCCACTCTGGAAGAAATGTATGGAAAGGCTATATGGCAGGGAACCCGATCAGAACTCTGGTTTTTAAGTGACAGAAACACTACTCAGCCTCCCATAGGCACGAAGAGGGATTTACTGGCTCACAGAATCCATGGAACTAACCCACAGGAATGGCCCAGAGAGCAGCTCCTCTAGAGTCTCTCCAATGCCAGTTCATCCTTCCCAGCTGCAGACCCGCTTCTTCCCCAAGCCAGGACACATGGCCACAGTCCCTTAGATTTTTTTGAAAATCAGAATCAAATTTTATCTTAAACTTTTTCTCTTCAATAGGGCCGACCTGGCCACCTTTGGCCTAAAAATGTGAAGAAATGTGATAATGTATAGTTTGTGAAGAGGGAAAAGACTACCCCAGAAATCCATATATTAAAAAAGAAAGATGTACTAATCTAAAAACTATTCACACACAAAAGCAATGAAATTCCTTTGAAACAGGAAAAAGGAAATATGGAAAAATTCATAATGGCATCCTCTCAATTTGTATATGATTATAGGATATAAAAGAAAGACATTCTCTTGCATTTCCAGTCCAAAAACTTGGAGAACTTTAATTGGCGGGGCTTCAACCATGTGCCCCTCTTGGGCCAATCAGCTGTGGCCAGGAGTGGGGTTCCTATAAGAGCCTGGCAGCTCACACTATGACCACAGGGCTGGAGGGGGCTGGGATGGGCTGTGATTCCCAAGAGAAGGGAAGGGTGCTGAGCAGATAATGTCCCTAGTGTTCCTTATACGCCTTGAGTGTCAGCTGAAGTTCTGACTAGAGAGATGGAACAAAACCATGAGAACAAGGAAAAGTTTGCAGAAGGGTGGAAAACTCAGTAACTTGTCATTTGGAGGTCCAGGAGGGGCAGCCAGAGAAGAGTTTGTGACCCCCAAAAGGCATCCAGTGAGAACAGAGGATTAAACGCATTGTCTTGACAGAGAAAAGAATATAGCTTCAGCAGCGTCCAGGTGTGGGGTGGTGGGGTGGTGAGATGGTGGGATGGTGGGGTGGTGGGGTGTGGGGTGGGGATCTAACTGAGCTTAACTATAACATCTGGTGAAAGTGTGAGGATGACTCCGATATGCCCAGAGCCTGGGGTTACCAGGATATGCCTGCTGATTGGAGTTGAATTGTCAAAGCATACAAAAGTAAAGGATAGTCCATTGCTTTCGGAAGAGTGAAAGGGTCTTGCTAGGCTCACTAGCTGTATAACTTTGGGCAAGTTAGATTTCACATCTCCAAGCCTCCATTTGCTTGGGTTTAAAGTGATGAGTTGCCCGGGCATGATGGCTCACACCTGTAATCCCAGCACTTTGAGAGACGAACGTGGGAGAATCGCTTGACCCTAGGAGTTTGAGACCAGCCCGGACAACACAGTGAGACCCCATCTCTACAAAAAATAAAAAATAAAATGATGGGTGTGCAAAATGAAATAACATATAAATATGATTGCCTGTCTCTTAAGGTTGAGTGAAGATTAGAAGAGAAAATGTATCTAAAACACCTGCTACAGGTTGGGTGCAGTGGCTCATGCCTGTAATCCCAACAATTTAGGAGGCCAAATTGGGAGGATCACTTGAGCACAAGAGTTCAAGACCAGCCTGGGCAACATGACGAGACCCCCTCTCTACAAAAAATACAAAAATTATCTGGGTGTGGTGAAGCTCACCTGTAGTTCCATCTACACGGGAGGCTGAGGTGGGAGGATCAATTGAGCCTGGGAGGTGGAGGCTGCAGTGAGTCATGATCATGCCACTACATTCCAACCTGGGTGACAGTGAGACCCTGTCTCAAAAAAAAAAAAAAAATACCAAAAACAAAACAAAACAACAACAAAAAAAACACCTGCTACAAAGCCTGAGAGCCAGGAACTTAGTAAGTGCTCAGTAATGTTATCTGTTATTTTCATCACTGCTACAAAAGTGTATGGAGGGGATAGGTCTCTTAACTTCTGAGTGCCAATGAGAGAACAATCTCAAATACAAGAGGCTTTAATATGTGGTCAATGACTCTACCCTGGGCAACAGTAATAGAAGCTCTATTATCTGATCATCTGTTCTGTACCAGGCACTTTGCTAAGTCCTTTACTATATTTTCTCATTTAATCCACACGACAGTGATTAGTGATAGTGTATCAGTTAGCTTTTGCTGCATAACAAATTACCCCAATGTTTATAGCTAAAACAACCACTGCTTATTAAGCTCATGATTCTGTGGTTTGGAAATTCAGCTGAGCTCTTCTTCCGGCCTTTGCTGGGCTCACTCATGCATCTGCAGTCAGCTGCTAGTCAGTTAAGTGGCTCTGCTTCTGGGGGTTGGCTGGCTGACATCTGCATGCTGAGGGTGACTGAGCCGTACATTTCTCTTCATCCAGCAGGATAGCCCATGCTTGTTCACACAGCAGCTGGGCAGGGCTCCAACAGAATGGAGGAAAGCATACAAGGCCTCTTTAGGCTTGGGCTCAGAACTGGCTCTGTCACTTCCACCACATTCTGTTGGCCAAAGTAAGTCCAAGATCATCCTAGATTCAAGGCAATGAGAGAAGTTGCCAAATTTTACTGCCATGAGGCGCACTCAGGGAGGGATGGGGAATTGTGGCGACTTTTGCAATCTACCACTGATAGGTACTAATATCACTGCCATTTTCCCTGTGAGAAAAATCAAGCCTCACGGAGGTAAAAATGGCCTGACCAAGTTATGCAGGTAGAGCATGGCAGACATGTGAACCCCAGGGTCTCAGGCTTGACTACATGGTGACATTCAGACTTCATTCTCTTAGGGGAAGCTGGCAGGCTCTCGTCTGTCACAATCCAAAACAACCCAATTTTATAGGCATCAGCGAGTTTGGCTGAGATGAAGACGAGGCAGGAACAGATAAAAAGTTGGGTCTAAAGCAGGTCAGGACCCGGGGGCTCAGACAGAGCCTGCAGCCATGGCGAGTTTCAGTGACACAGACCTCAGCCTGCCTCACCAAGGCACAGAACTAAACTTCATGGACCAGAGCTGACCCTCTTCCAGGCAGAAACCTTGCCTGGGCCTCAGGCTGGCAGGGTCCCACCAGGAGCCCATAGTGAGGGAGCTGCCTCCGGTGTTGGCTGCTGGGCTCCCAGCCCATGGTGGTGACAGCGCAGGCAGAAAGATCAAAGAGGTGCCACAAGGTGAAGTAGAAGATCTGTCCTCTCCAAAGAGCTCTGAAATCATCTCTGCCTGTAGGGAAGTGAGCAGAGGGGCACGGGGGGTCTGCGATGGGACTGCCCCACTTCCTCACCTCCGCTACGACCGGCCCCTCCCCCACAGAGACACCAGAGCCATGAGCACAGCTGTGCCCAGCCAAGCTGCCGGGTGCCAAGACGGGCCTGGCGGGCTCCGTCTCATCTGTCTCTCTTTAGCAGGAACAAATGGGAATGAGGGAATCAATTAACAAGGCTCCTTAGCCAAAGGACTGCTGCTCCCTCCTTCCCTAGCCTGTTAACCCTTTGCTTCCAGGGCTGGGAGGGCTGCCCTGGTGTGCTGGCCATGCTGGCTTCTGTCTTCTCTGTGCCAGATGCCCATGGCAGCTGCCAAGCTGAGGAACCAGAGCCAGAAACGCAAGCACCTCTATTCCACCCGGCGGAATTTGGGGTCAGCCTTGAAGCATACTCAGGACTCTGGCCCACAGGCAG
Organism: Homo sapiens; assembly: GCF_000001405.40. Lineage (NCBI taxonomy): Eukaryota > Metazoa > Chordata > Mammalia > Primates > Hominidae > Homo > Homo sapiens. The sequence goes on along the minus strand of NW_009646194.1, from coordinate 148,917 downwards.
GCCTGGACTTTTTTTCTCTCTCTAGAGACCTAGGATCCTCTCCTGGCTCAAAAACCTCTGAACAGAAGAGACAGGCCTAACAGTGGCCTTCAGACCGGGATGGTAGGTCACAGCCGAGCCCTACATGGGCCTCACACTGGATCTGGGAAAGACAAGGGCCCAGGGGACAGGGCAAGATGCATCCAGCCACGTTCAGAAAGCCCTGACAATTCTAACTTCAGAAGCAAATGGTCAAATTTGCTAAGAATGCTCTCTGGGGAATTCAGAAAGGCAACTATGAGGGCCTGGAAGTCCTGGGTTGTCAGGAGCCTTAGGTTGGAGTCCCTAGCTCAATAGCTGATGTGGCCTTATGACATTCTGAGTTATTAATTAATAGGCCACTCTTTCTCCCACCAACTCTCACCAAACGACTTTACTTGCTCCCCAAGGGTCTTTCCCAGCCTTGGAAGTAAGGCCATCAGTCTTGAGCCTGCTACATTACACAACACGGGGGTGCCATTCATAGCCTGCTCCACCATACACAGTGACACTGGGGTCACCCCTGCATGGAACAAAAGAAACAAAAGTGTGTACTGTTGGCCTTTTACGTTCAAAAGATACTCTTCTAAGTTAAGACCAAAAAAAAAAAAAATTGGATGCAGCTTGCATTGAGAGTGCTACCCACAGATTCCACATCCCTGCACTCTAGACTGGATAAAAGACTCCAAAGGCTGAAAGAAGGTGAAGAAAGGGATGAGACAGACAGGTCAGAGGGAGGACCACATACTGAGCTGCACCCAGAAGCTCCAGTGGTTTCCAGAGCCAGGGAGCCACATGGGAACCAAGTGTGCCCAATGACAAGGCTCACTCCACACAGCTGAGTGAGCTCTGTGGCCCAGCCAGGGCCTGGGACAGGGACATATGTCAGTCCGTTCATTCATCCATCCATCCACTCATTACAAAAATGGACAGTGAGTGCCTACTGTATGTCAGACACTATTCTGGGCAGAGTGAACAAGCAGACAAGGGCCTGGGCCTTGGGCAGTGTGAGGATGAGGACCACTCAGTGACTGAAGCTGGCTATTCGCCAGTCATCCAGCAGAAGAGAGGTGGTCTGTGCCCTGAATCCTGGCTCAGTGCCCACCGGGATTATCCAATGGGCAGAGCCCCCTCCTGCCCCTCTTCAGCACCCTAGTACACTTGTTGTGAGCCCCCTGTGTAAGTGTGGGGCCCTAGACAAGCAGAGAGATGACAAGGAAGGGTGGGGGAGAGATGTGGGAAGGTGGAGCTAGTTGGGAGACTGCCCAGTCAACAAAACATGTGCTGAAGCACCCTAAGGTGCTCCAGTACAGGCAGGGGATAGCTGGACCTCCCTCCCTTGTTCTCAGCATGTTTGCGTTTCTCTTTTCCTACTGCAGAGGAGTATCCAGCCTGCTGAAAACTCCAGAGGCTCACCTTGACCCTAAATTCAAAACTCAAGCCAGGACCGAGCGCGGTGGTTCACGCCTGCAATCCCAATGCTTCGGGAGACTGAGGCGGGCGGATCACAGAAGTTGGAGACCAGCCTGGCCAACATGGAAAAACCCCGTCTCTACTAAAATTACAAAAATTAGGCATGGTGGCACATGCCTGTAATCACAGCTACTCCAGAGGCTGAGGTGGGAGAATTACTTGAACCCGGGAGGCGGAGCTTGCAGTGAGCTGAGAAGGCACCACTGCACTCCAGCCTGGGCAACCTAGTGAGATTCTGTCTAAATAAAATAAAATAAAATAAAATAAAATAAAATAAAATAAACTCAAGCCAGGGCTTCTGATTGGCCCAGTGTGAATCACGTGTCCTTCACTGAGCCAATCAACATTGCCCAGGAGGGTAGGCTCTGTAAACGATGGCAGCTCCCATTCTAAAATCAGGGTTAACATGGGTTGAAAATGATTCCTTGTAGACAAAACCACAGATATCCACACCAACCTTGGGCATATAGAGATACATGGAGCCTCACTTTTCTGACCTGTAAAATGGAGCTAACTATTGTGCCAACCTCACTGGGCTGTCTCAAGGGTTAAAGTAGATAAACAAGTGTGCTTGGCACACTTTACAGATATTCGAGAAATGGAAGGCAAGTGTGATTTAGGACCTCTCTGGCGTCAGTCAACCCCTCTCTAAAATGGATGTCCTGCTCGATCTCCCCAACCCTGATGTCCCAGGATCCCATGGCCCAGGGCCTCCGTGCAGGTGGTGAGTGACCACAGACCTTCCTCTCAGAGATCTAGTGTCCTCCGTCTATTCCTGGGAACTGAAATCTCCTCCTGCTGCTCTTCCCCTCGCCAAGGAATGTTTCTGGCCCCCTGTGACCGCCCTCAACACCCCACATCTCTGCCTAGAGTCCTGGGAAGAGCATGTACAGGGCTATTCTGAGCTGGGGAACCAGAGTTCAGACCGCAGTTCTGGCTGGGTGATCTTGCTCAGGCACCTTAAGCCCTCTGTGCCTTAGTTTCCTTGACTGTGACAATGGGGTGGTGAATAGTAGAAACTCTCTCGTAGGGCTGTTGTGTATATGGCCCAGCACAGAGCGAATGCCATGTAAAAATCTTAGCCATTCCCGTTGTTAACACTGCTGGCCCTCGCTCCATCTGCTGCGGAAATAGCACGGACAGGTCAGAGTGAGCTGAGCGCTGGGACAGAGCCATAAACAAGACTGACTGACGCCGGTCCTGTCCTCCTGGAGCTCCCATCCTGATGGAGGCAGACACATCAACGGGCAATTTCAATGCAGCGTGACCAGGGCCACTCTCAAGGGAAGCCTGGGCGGCCGGAGCAGGGGCCCAGCCCCACGGATAGAGGGTGAGGGCAGGCAGCCAGGAGAGGTGATGGCTGGAAGACAGTGCAAGTGGACCGGGTGAGGGAGTTCAGGGTGCATCGAGGCAGAGGGGCCAGACAGTATTCAACCTTGAGAGCTGACCGGGGGAGACACAGGCTGATCTTGGCCAGTTCAGGTGGAGGGAAGGTGGGTGAGGTGGGCATGGAGGGCGTCCAGGTGGAGGCAGTTGCTCTCCCAGGCTGAGTGTGGAGCCTCAGCCCCGCTCTCTCCCTGGACTGTGCCTGTGTGTGATTTTGTGTAACTGAGATTATGTGTGTATGTGTGTGGCTGTGTAGGGGGTGGTGTGTTTGTGGGTTTGTTCCTCGGCAGGGTTGTGGTGAGGGTGTGAAAAATAGTGTGTTTGGAAAGGGTATGCCTATTTGAGACAGTTTAGGGTGTGACCACTGTGTGTGAAGTTGTGTGTGTGACGCTATACGCGTAACTGTGTGTCCATGAATGTCCCTAAGACTGTGTGATGTGTGGCTGTATGTAGCTGTGTATTATGTGTCTTTCTGTAGGTATGAGTGTATAAGTGTGTGTATGTATGTTAGACACACATGCACTGCTGTCTGTGGAGACCAGGGCAATGAGAGCTGCTCCCCCACTTCCATCCAGCCCTGCCGCAGAGGAGACACACACACACACACACACACACACACACACACACACACACACACTCCTGGGGCTGGGAGGGGTGGCTGCCTGTCGCTGCCACAGCCAGTCAGAACTTGCTAATTTGCATGTTAATGAAGCCCGGGGAGCTCTCCAGCTCCAGACTGACAGGAGCCCCTGGCACCCCATCCTCCCCTGACAAGACTGGGAGTGAGGAGCGGGGAGGGCTGAGAGACGGCAGAGGGAAGAAGAGACAGAGGAGGCTCTGGGATGAAGCTCCCCTTTCTCTTTCTCTCACTCCATCACCCCTCTGCAGGCCCCAGGCCCCTCCACTTAGCTGCCAGCCCCCACACTCTCCCTCCACTCTCCCCACAAGACTCTGAGCTAGGGGAGAAAAGGCTGGGTCAGAGCCCTCACCAGGCATGCGCAGCCCTGGGGTGAAGGCAGGGGACGCTGCTCAGGGCTCCTCTATGAGCTGAGCTGAGCTGCCCACACCTGCCCCCTTCACAGAACATGCAGCGAGTCATCCCATGGCACCTGCAGGTGCCCTGGGGAAGATGCCTTGAGCCAGGCATCTGAGAGCAGCAGGCACTAGTGTGCCCAGGTTGGCGCCAACAGTCAGCAGGCTCTCTCCTGCCCTCTGCACCAGGCTTCAGCAGAGGCTGAGGGGACTGCTAAGCTCTCAGCCTGCCCTGTGTCCTAAGAGGGAAGACTCAACCCATGTGGGAACCCCTGCCAGGGTCCTGCCAGCAGGGGAGATATGAGGCAGAGTGGGGGACCGGGACAGGGCTGGGGGATCTGAAGATATGATGTGTGAGGAGTAACAGTGGGGTCATAACAGTGGAGGGCACCCACCACCCTCTCCCCAGAGGGGCTGTGCTCCCAGCGAGGGAAGGGCGGTAGCGGCCGGAGAATGGAGCCTCGTAGCTTTGATCAACAGGTCAGTCCAGGATTGTGCTGTTTCATTCTCAGTGCCGTTGCCATTTGCAGTCTTGTCTGGGTCCGGATCCATCCCCCTTCCCATCCCCCCATCGCCTTCGTGCCCCATCCCCTCCTCCCGAGCTCCTTCCTTTCCTAATCAGCCACATCCCACAGGGGGCTGGGCTCTCTGGGGAGCCCTCCACAGCCAGCTCCTAAACACACTGTCTGGTTTTGTCTCAGAGAAGTTTTGTCCCCTGCCTTGGCAGAGGGACAGTCTGGGCTCCTGCCCTGTCACCCTGGCCCATACTGGGCACTTTCTTCCCTCCTTTGCCTTCCCTTCTCCCCACATCTCTCTTGACCCAGGTCTGGCCCAGTGCTCTCTGTCGCCCACTGGGCCTAGGCCTCCATCTCTCCCTTTTTTATCCAAATGCTCAAATATTCATATTTATTCATCTTCTCTCTCTCTCTCTCTCTCTCTCCTCTCTCTCTCTCTCTCTCTTTCTGTCGTCTTGGTTCTAGGTCCCTGGACACCCACCCTGCCTCTGCCCCATCCCCCCACCCTGTGGCTACGCCTGGTCCCCAGATGTGCTTACCAGAGCTGGGAGGCAGAAAGGTGAGGGAACCTCAGGGCCCTGGGTCTCTGCAGGTGAGAAGAGAGCAAAGCAGTTGCTAGTGTTAATTGCAGGGAGGATGTCTGGCAGAAATAAGGTGGTTTTTCTGCTTCAGTGACGACTGTTACAATCAAATTGTCCACAGACAATTAGCAGAGTGGGAGAAATAAGAATTAGATTTCTAATTATTTTCCCAGTAAAAGCCGCCCTGGACCCCGTGGGTGAGGGGGAAGGGCTTCTCAGTGGAGCCAACAGGCACTTTTGTGGGCCTAGCTCCCCTGAAGCTGGTGTGAGGGAGTGCCAAGTAGCAGGTGGTAGAGACAGAGGAATGCACCCCACCCCAGTGCTCAGCCCCACCAAGATGGCAGGAAGGAAAGGACGCACCTTGCTGAGCCTTGGAGTTCTGGAAAGAACCAGCATCTAGAGGCTGCTACTGGCTCTCAGGACCAGCCCTGGTACTACTTGCCGTCTCTTCCCATTTTCAACCCTCAGTTTGCTCATTCCAAAAATGGGGGACTAAGAATTCTCAGGTAGTGGAGTTGTTGTGAGCAGCCAATGATGTGAGCTGGTGGGAGCATCTCACAGCGACCGGCAGAGGGCAAGGGGTCCTGCCTGCTCCTGCCCTGGCCTCACTCTCACACCATGGTGCACGTGCTCACACACGACTGTGTGAATGTGTAAGCCCACACACACATTCACGTATGGGAAGCCTCTCTTTCCACACGCCTCTGCACATCTGGGTGCACAGCCTAACTCTTAACAAAATGGGCCAGGCATGCTGGCTCACGCCTGTAATCCTAGCACTTTGGGAGTCCAAGGCGGGTGGATCACTTGAGGTCAGGAGTTGGAGACCAGCCTGGCCAACATGGCGAAACCCCCTCTCTACTAAAAATACAAAAATTAACCAGGCGTGGTGGTGAGCGCCTATAATCTCAGCTACTTGGGAAGCTGAGGCAGGAGAATCGTTTGAACCAGGGAGGCAGAGGTTGCAGTGAGCTGAGATCATGCCACAGCACTCCAGCCTGGGTGACAAAGTAAGACTCCGTCTAAGGGAAAAAAAAAAAAAAAAGCTTTTCCTTGATCTGTGTGAGCCTCCATTTCCACATCTGTTAAGGAAGCTGATGAAGGTGCCTACTGCATAGGGTTCAAGGACACATGTGGAAAGGGCATGGCTCCTGCCTGCTGCATGGCATGCATTCAGTAAATGGTGTTAATGATGAAAATACTATATGAGGTGTCCAGTCCATGCCTGCAAGGCTAAAGGAGGAAAGTAGGGTGTGTTTCGGGAGGGAATAGGTTTAGGAAGTTGAAGGAAGTGATGAATAAGCATTTGTCAATCCCTACTAAGCACAAGCCCTCTGTGCTGCGTGCTCTGGACCCATCAGGCCCAGCCTTCATACTCAGAGAGACAGGCAGCAGCAGAGCAGGCAAAGACCGACTGGGTTTGGGTGGGACAGTTCTAGGTTTGTGTTGGAGCTGTGCCCTTGGTACGAATCAGGATGCTTCCACTTCCCCCTCTGAGCCTCAGTTTTCCTCTCTGTAAAGTGGGGATAATACCTACCTCCCAGGGTAGTTTGCAGGCTGTGACAGTGCTTTGCACCTGGGAACATGCTTTTGGGGTGGAGGGGCCATTGGCACAATCACTCTGACTTGGACACCAGTGCCACACACGTCCCACACACAGACTCAGTGTCTACAGGTGGATGCCTCCAGACCACCCAGAGCCTTCAGGCCTGACTCCACATCGAGGAGAGGGAAGACCTAGCTCACTAATGTCCAACAGGTGCCCAGGCCTAGTGACAGCCAACACACCTGCACAAAGGTCTCATACAGGTGCCACACATGATCACTCTGTCACATTCATACACACACACAAACACCCCCACCCACCCACACACACACAAACACCCACGCACCCTTCCTGGGCCCGTTCCTTCTCGCACACCCAGGACAGGCAGCCAGGATGTCCCCAAGTGAACCTAAGAGAAGCTCAAGGCCGCACCCACCAGGGCTGTGCTGAGGGAGGCAGCTGCAGCCCAGCTGTGGGGTCTGGGCTGGGGTGAAGGGAGCTGTGTGGAAACCCAGATGGGAGTTGGTATAGGAGGGGCACAAGGCTGCATCCTGGGCCCCACCTTCCCACCTCTAGGCCAACGGGCTGGGCTTGGCAGAGAGGCAGTCACCTGCCTGGAGGTGGGAAGAGCCTCTTTCTGTATTGATCCTCCCTCCCCACCTGCCCTTTATTCAACAGTGACAGCGACCCTGGGGAGGATGCCTCTGCCCACCCTACCTCAGCCCCACCTCTGTCTTCCTCCCCTGCCTCCTCCTGGGTCCATGGTCTCTGTCACTCTGGGCCTGGGTCTCCCTGCCCCTGTGCTGGGCTATGTAAATGTGGTATTTCCCTCCCATCATCGGGGCTGCCGGCTTGGCTCACATTTAATTTGATCCGTGGCGGCGCCTCTGCGGATCCACTCATCAAAGCAGGAAGACAATTAGGTGAATGTCAGGGTGGCCTAGGCCCCGCAGGGGCCACCAGGGCCTGGAGCTGGGACTGTGAGGGGTGGGCTTGGGGGCCTGGCTTCAATCCTGGTCTCCCTTTGGGCCGGTCTATGCTCAGGTTCCAGTGTTTGTTGTGTGACCAGAGACCTGGACTGCCCAGTGAAAACCAGGCTTCCCTCTGCCTAGACCCTGCTTTGAGGGTGTGACCGGTGCCTTTGAAGTACAGGAAAGGCCCTGCAGACCTCTCTTTCCTTCTCAGGCCACAGAAAGCATGGGGCCCAGGCATCTGCATGGCTACATTCAGGTCGACCCCTGGGCTGGCAGTAGTTGGGTTTGGGGGAGGATCCAAGCTCTGGACTGGGTCCTGCTCCATCCCTGCCACCCTGGCCTTGATGCAGAGCCCAGAACCACTCTTTGGCATCCAAAGGGCAGGGTATTTGGAGAACATGCTGGCATTAGTACTTCATGATGGGAGAGATGGCTTCTCCAGACATGTTCAAGGATAGCAGTTAGGAGTTTGGGCAGGAACAGAATGGAAGAATAGGTGGGCTCCTCTAATGAAAGACAGGTTTATGCCCCCCTGGGAGATCCCCCACTCATACCGCCCAAAGCCTGCCAGGAATGGTGGTGGCCAAAGGCCCTGCAGTGAGCATGGGGGGACTCTGATCCTGGGTCATTTGGGCATAAGAATAAATGTAAATATGACCTTACTTGTCCTCATCAGTTCTGCAGCTCTGTGTCACCTCATGCCAAGGACATGAGCTCATTTAATTCCCACATAAACCCATTTTACAGATGAAGAAACTAAGGGTCAGAGAAGCTAATTGCCCAGGGTCATTCAGCCAACAAGTAGTAGAATCCTATAGACTCTGGATTCATGCACTGTCCACATCTCCAGCTGCCCCCAGAGTGCCAGCCCTCCTGAGAGAGCTCCCCACATCCCCAAGGACACCTCCTACTGGGGACCAGGTTACCCATGTCTCCTGCAGCCTGGTGGAGGTCTGCCTGCTAGGGTGAGCCTCTGCCTCACCCGCCCACCCGTGTGCTAGGGACAGAAGGGGGACTTTATGTGCAATCTGCCCGACTCTCCAGAAAGCACTTAGGTTTACGATGTGCATGAAATTGATCGCCAGTTGGCGCAGCCCCCGCTCGTTCAGTGCCAGCCCAGTGCTGGCAGGAGGCTCCCCCACCACCCCCCACTTTCAAGGAGCATCAAAGCCGGCTGCCAAGGCCTCTCGTGAGGGTCCTTCTCCAGTAACAAGTGCAGAATGGAGGGGGGAGTTCTGCCCAAAGGCCTTTCCACAGTGCACACACCCCCGCCCTGTGAGAGTTAAATAGCTCCATGTTTTATGCCAGTTCCAGCCTCTTCTGCTTCCCCTCTAACAAGCCGATGCTTTCAAAGGCCCCACTAATTGGTGTTTGCACCTCACACACCACGACACTTTGATAGTCACTTAGAATGTGGGTCCATCCATCACACCCAGGGTACAGGGAAGCTGCTCACCTTGCTGTACCAGGGTACCCGGGCCTGTGTGCTCTCTGCATGTGTGCAAGTGTGTGCATGCCTGCATGCACATGTGAGAGTACTCATATGCCTTCCTTCATATGTGCAGAATATGTGCCTGTACAGGCACACCTATGTGCACCTATGTGTATAAATGCTCCCTTGAGGATATTTCTTGTACAACTCTGTGTTTGTATGTCAGTGCATGTGCATGGGTAAACACTAACATCTGTGCACGTGGGAGTGTGAATTTGTGTGTATGCACACTTTCCTAGGTAGTGTTTGCATGCACATGCAATAGTGCTTTCGTGTGTTTAGGCATGTGCAGAAGTGCTTTGTATGTTTGTGTGCAAACATCTGCCTGGGGGCATGTACATGTGAATTTTTACAAGTCTACGAATGAGGAATATATTCATGTCTGACTGTGCCTATGGGTGTGTGGGTTTGCCTGCCTTAGCACAGGGGAGAACAAACTTGTTTGTGTAAATACAGGGAAGATGTGGCGATTAGTGAAGTTCTGTGTCTATCTGTATCTTAGTGTGAATGTATATACAAGCATATGTGTACCTGGCCATTTGTGTCTGGCATGGAGAGAAAAAGTTTAACCTAGTCAGTGGCCCATCAGCTTTGGGTTTGAGACCTGGCTCTACCATTTTCTGGCTCTGTGACTTTGGGCTAGTCACTTAACCTCTTGAATCTCCAGTTTTCTCATCTGTAATGGAAATAATAAAAGCATCTTCCTCTGATTGGTGTGCAGGTCAAATGGGATAATACATCTCAAGGGCTGGCAGGATGCAGGGGCGAGCCTGTGGGCAGACAGGCAGACTCTCCTCTCTTCCTATGCTTCCCCCCTCCCTGGGAACACCCACAGTGCAGACACTTTTCCTGGCCTCATCATGTAGCTAGCTGCCTGAAAGACACCCTGTGGGCACTTGGGGAGAGAACTGGAAGAATCGTGAGAAAAGCCTGGTTGGGCCCAGGTCACACAGTGACAGCCAGGACTTCTGAGATTTTTGTTGCATCCAAAGAGAGTTCTCACTTTATTACCTACCTTTGACATGTGGGAAACTGAGGTGCAGAAGTAGATGCAAGCTGGTGGCAGAACGGAAACTTGCTGTCAGCAGACACAGCCTACAGCCAGGCTGGTGGGAATCCAGGATGTCCTTCTGAGTCCTGAGGGAGAAGGGGCAGCTTCACCTTTCTAATGTGCCTCGTGCACAAATACTAAACCTGGGATTCTTCCACTGACCCTGGCCCGGGGTGCCTGCCGCAAGCTGAGTGTGGACCTCAGGGAGCCCAGCCCTGCCTCTCTGTAAACACAGATCGAAACACACAGCTCTAGTCTAACCCTATCATTTACTCACCAAGAAACAGAGGGCCAGAGAAGGAATGGAGCTGGCTCAAGGCCACAGGGCAGGAGAAAGCTAGAACAAGGCTGCTTATGTCCCAGACTGGGGTTCTCACTGTCTTGCTGTCCTCGTTCACCATGCTGCCACTCAACAGTATTGACCTGGCTGGTGGGTCATGGCTAGGGCAGGGCTCTCCCCATGGGCAGGCCACAGGACCTTCAAACCCACCTGGTGGTCAGCCCAGAGGATCCACGTGCCTCCATTTGGGGGAACACAGCCTCTAGACGTGGGCTCCCACACTGCCCCACCTAAGATTGCAACTAGTATGTGTCCCTTGTTTTTATCCTTCTTAGTTTGCAGGGTACATGTTTTATGTTACTTTTTTAATTTAAAAAATTTAAACTTTACAAATCACAACCAGCAGCAGGGCAGCCTCACCAGTTGACATCCCCAGTATCATCAGCATCACTATCCCCCAAAGTCATCGTCGTCTCCAGCATCAGGGTGTGACTGTACCCTGCCCGCAAATCCCCACCCCTTAAGCTGTCATGACTCCCTCACCCTTCATAAATGTCCCTGACATGGCCCAAGAATCAAGCAGAAATGGTCCTCTTCCACCATCCACATTTCATTTCTCACTCCTGCCTCGTCCATCCCTCCCTCACTATGCCCACGCTCATTCCAGGATCATATGACCCAAAGCCCTCCCAAATCTTTATCTCTCCCTGTTCCCAAGAGCGCTGGGCCTAGCCTGTCCTGCAGAAACTGCGGGCTGGGCTTTGGCCCTGGAGTCTTCACTGGGGCAGGCAGCCAGCAAAGGGAGCCGGGAGGGGAAGGAGGGGTGAGTGGGCCCCTCCTCAGGCTTGGTGCCCCACCCACCCAGCCGGAGGCCTGTCTGCCTTCCTGAGCTCATTAACTGCAGGTCACCGTTCAGCAGGAAAGACAAGGTGTGGGTTCTGCGGGCATTCATTAGCCGTGAGAGGAACAGTGTGTGTGAAATTAGCAGTCACCTGAGGACCTCGATAATTTCATAATTAGGAGGCCTAATGGCTCCAGCTCTGGATGCCAAATGACTTAACCCCTCACCTGCTGGGCCCCCAACCCCCAGCCCAAGGCTGCAGGGGAGGGCCTGTAGTGCCCTCTCTGCTCCAGTCCCCCTCTCTAGGGCCCAATAATGTTTATTTCTGCCTCCCCAGTGCCCAGCACAAAGGCTGGCACAGAGGGGGCATAAAACCAAAGTTCATGGAGTGAATGAATGAATGGATGAATGAATGAGCAAGTGTCTGAATGGGGAAAATGTTCCAGCCCCTGCTGCAGGTGCTCAGGGGAGGAAAGCTTTGGAAAGGGGTGAGGAATGGCTCTGCATCTGCCTGAGCAAGTATGCAGCTATGCACATGCTGGTCTGTGTGTGCATGTGCACGTTCGAAGCCACACACATGTAGGTCTATGGTGTCTGCTTCTAAGAACCTTTCCTGGGTCCATGTTCAAGCTCTGTGAACACACTCATTCTGCTGCCTCCTCTCTGAGAACAGGGGATGCTCTGTCATGGGGCCCAAGTGCCTCCCTTGATGCCATCCTCTCCTGGCACCACCTCAATAATGGTGACTCCAGAATTTCTATATGGGGGCATTCTTTAGGGGAGAAAGGCATTCTAAGGGGCTTACCTTGAACCTGTATAGCAAGTGCATTGTTTTTACCAAGACTGAATGTTTACTTGGGAGTCTGGGGTACTGGTGCTAATAAGAGTGCTGAAATCACACCCTTTAGCATAGGGGGAGCTGGTCAGGACAGCCTCCAAAGACCCCCCTCACCCCGCCACTTTTCTCAGCCTGGCCCCCCTCCTCCCAACCTTCCTCTGGTCCTTTGGAGGTGAAGGATGAGGTGGAGGGGTGGGGTCCTTGGGGCTCCAGGCTAGTGCAGGCCTTACCCAGTTTGGGACAATTGATTCTGAGCCTCCCTGACCCAGCCTCACTGTAGAGAGAAGGAGCTGAGTGGCGTGAGAGGGGAGGTCTATAAAGAAATAGGAGAGGAGGTGTGGGGAGAACAATCAAGGAATATCAAGGGAAAGAACGGAGGGGAAGGGGAAGAAAGGGGAGGAGGAGAAAGGATAGGAAGGAGGTGAGAGAGAAGAGAGAAGACGGGAGGGGAAGGGAGAGGAGGAGAGGCAGGGAGGCTGAAAGCATTATCAGCACTTAAAAAGCCAGCGGCTCAGTTCTTCTTTGGCACAAATAATGGCTTTTTATGAATAAATCATGTGTCAGACGCCTCCCAGGGAGTGGGCATAGAGGGGAGCGCGTCTGCTGGGCTCCAAAGCTGATGGGGAAGAGCCAGTTGCAGCCCCCCAGCCACAGGGGTGTTGCCCCCTTTCTCCTGATGAGACCCAGCAGGACAGAAGCTGTGTCTGGAATGATCCCTGGCCTGAGCCAGGCAGAGCTCGGTCAGAGCTCTGAGGTGGTCCCACTCCTCCCTGCTCATAAGCTGGGCTGGATCCCAGGGTCTGGAGTGTCCCTCTGCTCCCCTCCCCTCCGACAGACAGCAGAGCAGCCCAGAAGACACTCCTGGCAGGGGAACACCAGTGCTGGTGCTCCCGGAGAGAGCTTTGTGCCAAGACAGGCAGGCAAGCCCAGAGAGGAGGGTGTGCATGGCACATGTGGGGACAGAGACAGCACCTCACACAGGCATGGACTGCACAGCCCCGGCACTTGTGTGGGCACACTTGGAGGCAGATCCACTGTCATTCCCACCACACACACACGCACACACACACACACGCCCAGCCACGTGCACACTCGGCAGGGAGAACCTCAAGCACCACCCCACCTGCCCAGCACACTCACTAACCCCTAACACACACACAGACACACACACACAGGCCCACACAGACAGACACATATGGGACTACATGGAAACACACAGCCCTGCGCACACACACCAGCGGCCCACCCTCCATCAGCCTAGGGTGGGGGCAGTTCTGCAGCCCATATGGAGCCCACACCCAGCTGGGCTGTCTCAGAGGCTGGCTGTAGGGTGGGGCTGGGGCATCTGTCCCAGGGGAGGGGCCATCAGCCTCTATGTGCTCCCCACTTGGCAGGGACACCCGCCATACCAGGTTGGGTCTCAGCCCCAACTCAGAGCCCAGAATCTGTGCGGATTCTACTGGCTCTGAGTTCCTCTGCTCCTCTGCTCTCAGCCACCTCATCAGAGGCAGTGGGGGCTGCACGAGAGCCTGGGTGTTGGAGGTACACACTCAGGGGCTCTGGCCCTTGCCAATAGTGTGACCTCACACAATAATTCCTATCTTATTTACTCCTCAAAACAAATGTGTGAAACAGGTGCTACTGCCCCATCTTTCAGACCGAGAAAGTGAGGCTCCAGAAGGCAAGAACATTGGGTATTCCTTTCTAGGACACCGTCCCCAATCCCCTGGGGTCCTGGTTTTCCTTCTCTTCTCCTCTCAGCCAGTGGGTCCCTCCTGTGCCAAGATGTTCATCAAAGCAGACTTGGACTTCCTGCTCTTCCAACTCTGCAATCCTCCCCCTCCCAAGCCATTTCCAACCCCTCAGTGACACCTTCTGTGTTCCTGATTCTTGACCTCCCTTTCCAGCCCAGACACCTTCTGGGCTCTGACCCCACTATGCAAGTGGACACCTCAGGGCCACTATGTTGCCCAGTGCCAGAGAATGTCATTTCACGCAGTGTGTATGCTCCTGAACATCCCTCCCTCTGCTCCAAATCCCAAAGATTCTCATGAACTATAGCTCAAATGAGCACATCAATTTCCCTAGGGCTCCTCCTGCTTTGGTGTGCCCCATCTCAAGGAATGGCCCTGTCTCCCCAGATACCCAAACAAAAACCAAGCATCAATTGATGCTTCCCTGTCCTTCATCCCCCAGGTCCAATCCACAACCAAGTCCCCAATGACTCCATATCCAAAGTAGATGTGAATTCATCCTTTCCCTTGCAGCCCCACTGTCCTCCCCCATAACTTGGTTTGAGCCACATCAGCACCTCTGGCTGGGCCACACTGTCCCTCTTCCACTGTTGAACCCTCTGGCCCATTAGCCTCCCTGCCATCAGTAATCTGTCCCTCTCTGAACTTTAGCCACACTCAACTGCTTTTGGTTCTGGAATCCACACACCTCTTGACTCTGGGCCTTTGAACATGCCATTTCATCTAAATCTCCTTCCCAATGCCAGTTCCTCCTACCAAGCTTAGCTGAGGCAGCACCAGTCCAGGCACCTTCCCTGACTCAAGTCCAAGATGAGTGCTGCCCCATCATTCATTCCCACGACAGCCCCCAGCTCCTCCTCCGATCAGCACAGCTTTGATCTATAATCGCCTATTTGCTGGCCTGTTCTCCCCAGGAGCCTCTAAGTTCCTTAAGAGTAGAGACTGTGTCCGTGTGGCTCTAGGGCAGCCCCAATGCTTGGTATAAGAACTTAACAGGTGCTCACCGAATCTTCCTGGAATGAACGAGTGCAGGACCTGCGCTGAACACTTTCCATACCTTTCCTCATGCCTGACAGAAGTTCATGAGATGGATGCTACTATTCCATGGTGTAGTCCAGGAAGACAAGGCTTCAGAGGCTGAAAATTTGCCCGAGGTCACACAGCTGGCAAACTGTAGGAAATGGATTCCAACAGCAGTCTGTGCACCTCAAAGGGATCTCTTTTCACCATCTCTACCCTCCTTCCCAAGTCATTTTCTCTCTCTGACCTTGTTTTCTCATCTGTACAATGGGAACAAAAATCGTGCCCAACACAGAGCCTGGCACTAAAGGTTCTCAGTAAATATTTGTGCATCCTCTCCCAATCTCTGAGGCTTATTTAGGACGCATTTTCCTGGGCCAAAACTTCGTGCATGCACATGTTCACAGAAACAGGTGCAGAGCTCGACGAAGCACATCTTCAGCACGGGGGACTCAGTAGGCGCTTAACCAATATGTGCCGGGCAGAGGAGCATTAGTTTAGCAAAGGCTGACGAGTACCCAGACAAAAAGCCACAATAGTGACTCAGGCACAGGAACCCTCCCCCTGCCCCAAGTTCCCTGTCAATTATCCTCCGCCACCACTCCCCTTCCTCTAGCCCAAGGCGCGGGAAATATTTAAAACAATTTTATTCATGAAAATATGCTGTACAATGCACTCTACACAGCCTCGACACGGCACACACGCACACGCACACTCTGACGGCACGGCCACGGTACACTGCCTACGATACGCGCCGGGGACGCCGCGCCCACCGCCCGTCCCGGCCGGACACTTATAAATATGGGAGAAGGGCCAGAACTGGCGCGGAGAAAGGGGCGTCGGGGTTGGGGGTGGACGGGGCTGAGGCCCGCTGGAGAAGCTGAGACCAGTACTAGGGGGTGGGGGCGGTTGAAGAGAGGGACTGACTCCGACGGGGGAGGGGAGAAGCGAGGGCCGGCAGGGATGGGAGGGGGAGACTGAAC
Source organism: Homo sapiens (assembly GCF_000001405.40). Lineage (NCBI taxonomy): Eukaryota > Metazoa > Chordata > Mammalia > Primates > Hominidae > Homo > Homo sapiens. The sequence continues at coordinate 133,133 of NW_009646194.1, read as the reverse complement.
TGTGGGGGTGGCGGTCGTCGGAGGGCGATTTGGGGGTGGAGGGCTGCTCAGGGTGGATGGATATAGGTAGGTGTGAGTTTTCCGCAGAGGGTTGCTGGCTTCGGGTGGGTGAGACTAAGACCAGTGGGAAAGTGTGTCAAGTGGGAATCAGATCCGTGTTTGGGGTGGGCGCGGGGTCACGGCTAGGCCTCCGCAAATGAAACTGAAGATTTGTAAACGCTCCCTGGCCCATCTCCTAGTTGGCTTCCCCGACCACCGTCCACACCAGGCGGCCCACCCCGCTCCTCCCTACTCCCAGCCAGCCTGGAATTCAGCCTCCTCTCCCAGGCTTCCTGCCCAGGAGAAGGGGGTGGATCTCAGGAGTGTGGGCAGGAGCAGTGGGGTGCCCCGGCCCCTCCCTCCCCTTCCCCGGCGGCCGGCCTCCGAGAGGGGTCCCTAGCTGGGCTGGGGCCGCCTCCTGGGGAGCTAGAGTCGGGGGCAGGGACCCGGGAATCAGGATGGGAAGACAGAGGCCCCCTGGGGACGGGACGGGGCGCCCGGAGGCGGGAGGCGGCCCTCAGCCCGGCACCCAGCTCTGGTTGGGGGGCGGGGCCCCGGCCAGGCCCGGCGGCGGTGGAGGCAGGGCCGAATCGAAGTTGAAGTCCATTTCGTCGCTGTCCATGAAGTCGTTGAGGATGATGGACTCCACGTCGCACTCGAGGCTCCCGCTGAACATGTCGAGGTCCAGGTCGGCCGGGAAGCGGTCGGGCGCGGCGCCCAGCGGCCCGGCGGCGGCGGCAGCGTAGGGCCCCGGCAGAGCGTCCAGCAGGAGGCCGCCGGGCGGGCCCCCGAAGGCGGCGGCGTGGCCCGACGGTGCCAGGCCCGCGGCGCCCGCCTCGCCGGGCAGCGTCATAAGGCTGATGGGGTGGGCTAAGGCACTGCGCGAGGGCGCGGGCGGCGCGTACGGGGCCGCCCCTTTGCCGGGGTAGGCGGCGGCTGCGCCCGCCAGCGCCAGCTCCCCCGGCGCACCCAGCACCGGGCCGGGCCTGGGCGCGGGCGGCGGCGGCGGCAGCAGCGCGGGCAGCGCCCCAGGGCGGAAGGGCGCCGCGGCCGGCACGAAGCTGGCCTGCTTGTTCTCCTGGATGGTCTGCATGGGCAGACGGCGCAGAGCGCCCATCGCCGGCGGCCCGAAGCCCCCGCCCCCGCCGTAGGCGCCGCCCTTGCAGCCGCCGAAGTAGGCGGGCGTCCCGGCGCGGGCCCGCGGCCCGTACGCGTCCTGCGCGCCGTCCAGCAGGCCCTCGGGCAGCCCCGCGCCGCCGCCGCCGTGCAGGCCCAGCGGGCCTCCCAGCTCGGCCAGGCGGGGCAGCTCACCCGGACAGCGCGAGCCCAGCGCCGGCGACAGCGCGCTGGCGGGGCTTGGGTACATGAGCGGCGATGATGGCGCCAGGGCCTCCAGGGCCTCGTCGTCCTCCAGCTCGGCCGCCTCCCCGAGCAGGGGTCTCCCGCCGCCGCGGAAGTCGGCCCAAGCCTCGTAGTCGTCGCTGGCGTGCGAGGCGGGGCTGGCGGCCCACTTGGCTGCGGCAGGCACCGGCCCCGGGGCGGGCGCACTCGGGGAGCTGTCGTCCGGGCTTCGCTCGGGCGCCTGCAGCTGCTTCTTCTTGCTCGCCTTGCCCTTGATGCGCAGGAACTTGGCCCCGTTGTCCATGGACACGGCCCTGCGCCGCGGGGTCTTCCCTGTCTTTCCGCCCTCGGGGTTCAGCATCCACCACGAACTCTTGCCGGTGCCCTCGTTCTGCACGCGGATGAAACGGGTGTGCAGCGACAGGTTGTGCCGGATGGAGTTCTGTGGCCAGAGACAAGGACGCGGGTGGGAGTCGGGGGGTGAGGAGGCCATGGGGAGAGAGGGGACGTGATGGAAAGAAGAGGGGGAGGATAAGAGAGTGTAGGAGGAGGAGGGAGATAGGGATGAGGATGAGGTAAGGGGGTTGGGAGAGGGAGGGGACAGGTGTAAGTACCGGGTTGGACAAACCCAGAGTACCCACCCTCTGCCCCAGAACTGCACCCCCCATCCCTCCCCACTCCCACACAGAGACTGCCTAGAGGGTGGGGCCACAGCTTTGGGCCTAGCCTTTCCCTGGGGGCATGGCCAACCCTGTGGGCTACTCTGAGCCTGCGGGGGGCCTGCAGCAGGGAGCAGGACCCCGTCTCCCCAGCTCAGCCAAGCCCCACGCGGGGCTAACCAGGCTGCCAGGGCCCCCAGCAGATTACGTAAGGGCTTATGCCGCCGCGGCTCATTTGTCCGCCCCCCTCCCTCTCCAGCCTGGCGTGGCGCCAGGAGCCCGAAAACCCAGGGCTCCAGAAATCAATCTCGCGGTGACTGATTAAGCCCTGTTTAGAACTAATTGCTCTTTCGTGTGTGGGGAGAATAAATTACCTGCTTTAATTTCGTGTCTTTAAAATGCAACTGCAGGTAGAGAAGACTGTTAACCCTTTGCTGGGAGGGCCTGGCCAGGGGAAACAGAGTAGGCTGGGGGTCCCCAAGGTGGGTCCAGGCCTGAGACTTTTCGGAGGTATCACCCCAACTCCTCTTAGCTGCTGTGAACTCCACAGAGGGTTTGGATTCCAGCAGGCCCCTCAAAAGACATCCTTTTGCCACAGAGACCTCAGCCTTCACCCTCTTCAGTGCCCACCTTCAGGCCAGCCCAGCTCTCCTGCCTGCCCTTTGGGCTGCACCCTGCCCTCCTCTCCTGACCCACCTGCCTGCCCTCCAAGCCCCTTGCTGTTGGAGCCTTCTCAAAATCCCCACAGTGTGTGGCAAAGTCCCCATTCACACGCCAGAAGACCTAGGCTCAGAGAGAGGAATGGCTTGCCCAAGGTGGCCTTTTCTGCTGTCCCTCGGTTCCTCCCTGGGCTTCACCTCTGCCATCTCTCCATACATCCTCTTTTTAATTCTGCTGTGCCAGTCTCCAGTGCTCCCCATGTCACTGCCTGCTTTTGCCAGGCCTGTTCTGAGGACAGAGGAAGGCAGGAAGTCCACTGGCCCCACTGGAATCTGGAGTAGAACTTCTGCTGGGCCTGCGGCACCCCACCTCTGGGGCCTCCCACCTGGTGGCCTCAACTTCCTGGTCCAGGTACTGCTATGGAAACAGCAGGGGCTTGGGTATCAGAGGGTGGGACAGGATGCCTGGCTCTTTGGCTGCCTAGCTATGTGACCATGGGGTGTTTACTCAGTTTCTTGTGAGCCTCAGTGAACTACTCTGAAAAAGTGGGCTACATTCAGTAACTACCTCTTAAGGCTGTAAGATCATTACATGTGCATGAATAAGTATTTGCACACCAGGTGCTTATAAACGTTGGTTATATCCTCACTCTGGCCAGAAGCTCTCACCCCTTCGGTCCCCCAACAGACCTGCTGTTTCCATCTCTTTAACATCATGCCTTGTGTGCAACTGTGCTGGGCACCAACAACTCTGGGAAGCTGGCATTCTCCAATTTCATACACTAGGGACCGGAGGCCCAGAGGCATGATGTAACTTCCCGTGGCCCCACAGCTAGGCAACGATGCCCGGTACCACTCCAGCTCTGCCCAGCTCATGGACCTGCTCTTAACCTGTGAATCCACCCAGCCACACTCACAGCCACTGCTCTGTGAGGCTCTCCCTCCTGCCTCCTTCCCACCAGTCTCCTGGAGGAGGGGTCCTTCCTGCTGCCCAGGGTACCCTCCCACCCCTCACCCCCAGCTCCAGGCACTGATCTGACTCCTCAGGGCCCCAGGCTCCCTGTCTCTGGCACTTTCTGGCCTTTGAAGGCAACAGCTGGGACTTGCCAGCCTTGCCCTGCCTGGTTCTCTGGAGACCCTGAGGGGAGGGGAGCTGGGCCCCCAGGTAGCAGTGCTCCCTCAAGTAGATACCCCCTTCCTGTTCCCACCCCTGCACCTGGCTCCCCAGCCCCTCCCCAACACCTGTGTTCAGCCTCCTAGGAGGCCTCAGTTCTCCTCCCCCATAGGACTGTCTGGCTTACAAGAGGCTCCACCTCCCACCTCCCCATTTCTCCAGCTGGAGGTCACTCAGGCAACACCTCTTTATCAATGTCATTATGTCCTGGAGGAAGGACAGTACCAGGTACCAGCACCTAGCAAGCGCTTGCCCATTCAGCCCTGGGCACTCTAAGTACTTTATCAAATGTAATCATTAGATGAACTCCACACAAGTCAGGGATTGTGATCCCTATCTCATAACCGGAGAGTGAGGCTCAGAGATGTTAAGTGAGTTACCAGGGTCACACAGCTTAAGTGCTGTGCCATGTATTGATTTCAGGTTGGTGTTTTGTTTTGTTTTGTTTTGTTTTGTTGAGACAGGGTTTCACTCTAGCCCAGACTGGAGTACAGTGGCACGATCTCAGCTCACTGCAACCTCCGCCTCCCAGGCTCAAGTGATTCTCCTGCCTCAGCCTCCCAAGTAGCTGGAATTACAGGTGCGTGCCACTGCCACCCAGCTAATTTTTGTATTTTTAGTAGAGATGGGGTTTCACCACGTTGACCAGACTGGTCTTGAACTCCTGACCTCAGATGATCCACCCGCCTCGGCCTCCCAAAGTGCTGGGATTACAGGTTGGTCTTATTCTAAGTCTAAAGGATATCACATTCTGCCATGGAAGACAGAAACAGGTCTGAGAATCCCAAAGAATCTTAGGAAGCCAGTATTCCAGTGCTCCTCAAACTTTCCATGTAAACCATCCCTAGAAGCTGGCAGCAGGGGAAGTCTGGGGGCATGTTGCACAGGTCAAAATTTCCTGCAAGTCTAAGCTTCCTTTTTAGACTTCAAGGAAACTTTGCATAGACTTCATAATCCACCCACATTTTCTTTATACACATTATTCACATGTTTTAGAATTACCGCCAAGACAAGCTCCAGGCCTCTGAAGGTTTGCATCCTTCCCTGCTCTGTCCCATATCCAGCCAGGTACCCCTGGAGCTCAGGCCTCAGCCTGAAACCATGGCTGGCCCAACCCATGGGGAAGAAAGGACTTGCCCAAGGCTGTCCGAGACCTGGTGGCAGAGCAGGGATGTGAGCCCAGGCCTCCCGACCCCCAGCCCCGTGTTCCTCCCACTCTACCAAGCCTGACCTAGATGAAGTTTCTCCTTCTTTGGGGGCCTCAGTGTCCTGAACTATAAACTAAGGAGATGGGCAAGTTGTACTCTGGGAACCTTTTCAGTTTGACAATGAAAATCCTTAGAATCATTCAGTCCAGAGGTTTTCAAACATTTTTCTTAAATAGGGGAACTCTTTCTGTAAATGAGATTTAGTGCAAAACTTAAGCGTTACACACTCAAGCCAATGGTGGTGGGGACAGGAGTACCTGGATCCCTGTGCACTCAGCACCCTTTTTCACAGAAAATGAAGCTCCTGGGGAGGATTCTGCAGGCCAGATGGATGGGGTCTTTGAGGCACAGAGGGATGCCATGCCTTGCTCAGGGTCAGACAAGGTGGCTCAGAGCTGAGCGAGGACCTAGGCCTCTGACTGCTGAGCTGGGCTCTGAACCAGGTATGCTCCAGGGCTGTGCCCCATGAGAGAAGCTCAGGCCCTGCAGCCCAGTCTGGCTCCTCAGGGCCCAGCCACCTGGTACCAATCAGAGCTCCCTGCCAGATCCAGTGGCAAGCACTGATCACAGCTCTGGCTCATACCACAAGGCCTCCTGGGAGGCCAGAGGCCATGGAGGAGGTGAAAGAGGCAGAGGAGGGAGATGCCTCTGCCAGGCAGCAGTAACCAGGGCTCCCTCTTAGAGTCGCCTAGCAACCCACCACCACAGCCACAGCCCTGGCATGCCCGGGCTCCCCAGGTGCCCAGAGCTGGGCCCAGCTTCTGGGGCCTCATGCCTCCCACACCTACATCCAGACCTGGAGCATGTTGCTAGGGGAGTCAGGACATACCTGATTCAGGGCCCGAGGGAGACCATCTGGGGGCAGAGGGAAAGGACAGTGGGTTATATCTCATGCCTACCCCGTTCTCCTTCAGAACCTGGGCCAGGGAGCCCAGCCCCCAGGGATTCCCCCACCAGGGAGGAGGCTAGAGTAGGGCAAAGTACATCAGCTGTAGCGTTCGAACTGGATTCCCCGTTTCAGCCCCATCACCTGTGAGTGCTATGACCCTGGGGCAAGATGTTTTCAAGCTCCATTCCTCAAATGGCTCCCTGCTCCCTCCCTCACCTCCTTATAGCACTCCACGCAGCAGCCAGAGTGACCCTTCAAATAACCGAGATCACGTCCATTCCTGCCCAGATCCCTCCGACACCCTCCATCTCACTCACAGTGAGGAACAAAGGCCTTGCCATGGCCCACAAGACCCACAGTGACCATGCAGGTACCCCGCTCCATCCCTCCCTCCCATCCTCAAACCTGCCAGGCATGGTCCCGCCTGCCCCCAGATATCCACAGAGATCGCTCCTCTCCTTCCAGTCTTTGTTCAGATGCCATCTCTTGGAACGGGGCCCATCCTGACCTCTCTTAAAAACTGTTCCTCTTCCCTGGAATTTCTTGGCCCCCTGATCCTGCTCTATGTTTTTCTAAAGCATTTTCACATTCTAAATTAATACATTATTTATCCTATCTTTATATTAGAATATAAGTTTCATGAGGGCAGTGATTTTTATCCTTTTTAAAACTGTACCTCATGTGTTTGGTACATACTAGACACTTAAATGTTTGTCAAATGAATGAATGGATGAATGAATAAGAGAAAGTGTGTATGTGCAAGGAGGAGTAATACTGTGTTATAGGGAGATTAAATAAGACTGGGCAGAGTGGCTGACACATAATAGGGGCTTTTCCAAACTGGGCAGAAAGAAGACACAGGCAGGATGAGAAGCAGGCAGTGGGGTGAGAATGTCCGAAGCAGTCTGACCCACTGAGGGGTGCCAGGGAGAGGAGTAGGGCATCCATTGGGGGTGAAGGAGAGGTCCCACGGTGCACAATGCAGCTGCCTGCCCTCCCCAGCCCCCCACCCTGCTCCCCAGAGAGACTTGGATAACCCAGGGCTGGCACACACCGAGGTCTCCCCTGGGCCAGAAGACGCTCCAGGAGCCCCAGTGGGAACAGGATAACCTCGTCGTTGCTGATGGTGCCTCCCTCATGGACAGGGTCTGATCCATTTGGTGGTGGCAGCTCATCTATCCAGCAGGACACCCTCATCTATTCCCAGGATGCCCTTCACCCACGAGCAGTAATGCATTCACCTGACAGCACAACCCCATTTATCCAGCACACCAGTCCCATTTATCCAGCAAGTACAACCTCATTTGCTAACAGCACTCCATTCACCTGACGGGCCCCCTCATTTATCCAGCAGGACACCCTCATTTATCCTCTGAGTCGGACACTCTCCTTCCTCCTGTGGTGTGGCTGTGTTCTCTGATGGAGCAAAAGCCGACTGATCCAGCAGGACGTCATCTCTACTACAAGTACACTTCATCCCCTGACAGTACAACCTCATTTATCTAATAATGCAGCCTCACCTTGCCCCCAAGTACCACCTCATTCCCTGACAGCACAACCTCGTTGATCTTCCGGTACAACCTCATTTCTTCTCCCAACACAGCTTCATTCTCCAACAGCTCAACCTCATCTAATCTTATGCCTCCAGCCAGGGCCTGCCAGATCTCCGGGAGCCAAAGGAGAGTGTAGAGAAAAGAGAGGTCCCTCATTTGCTGTCCCCCACCCACAAGGGCTGCCTGGTGCTATAACCATCCAATTTCTCCAGGCCCAGAAGGGGCCATGGACTTTGAGTTCTAGGCTGCTTGGCCAAGCCAGAACTCCACTATTGCCCTGCCTCCTGTTCTGTCCCCACCATGGCTACAGAGGGCCCACAGGATGGATTCTGGGACATGGACTCATGGTTGCTGTACCATCTTCTTATTTATTTATAGCCAGGTTCGTTCATTCTTTCTTTTCTTTTCTTTTCCTCTTTCTTTCTTTCTTTCTTGCCAGGGTATTTATTTATTTATTTATTTAGAGCCAGGGCCTCCCTCTGTCACCCAGGCTGGAGTGCAGTGGTGCAATTATAGCTCATGGTACCCTTGACCTCCTGGGCTCAAGTGATCCTCCCGCCCTACCCTCCCGAGTAGCTGGGACCACAGGTGTGCGCTACCACACTCGGCTAATTTTTATATTTTTTGTAGAGAGGAGGATTTCTTATGTTGCCCACGTTGGTTTCAAACTCCTGACCTCAAGTGATCTTCCTGCCTCGGCCTCCCAAAGTGCTGGGATTACAGGTGTGAGCCAACTTGCCTGGCCATCTCTGTGCCATCTTCTTCTGATCCTGGGCAGTGGGACTAGGGGAAGTTACCTTTTCTGGGGCACATTTAGTGGTGTGCTGGCAAATGTTTAACCACCAGCTCTTCTGGAAGTTAAAAAAAAAACCTACCTGATTTGATTTGTAGCTGTTGCTGCTTTCTGTGGTACGGATACTCACATCATAGCCAATTTTAAACTGCCACATGACGTCACCGAGTGCAGAATTGGGAAGAAGTGTGCACGATCAGCCCTCATGAGCCAGTGCAAACCAGCTCTCGCACACCACTGGCATGTGCTTCAAATGCTGAAGCCAGAGAAGGGCACCACCTACTACATGCCTAACATAGGCTAGGCTCCTTTAATCCTGATAACCATCCTGTGAGTAGGTACTGCGATTTTACAAAGGGGGCAAACTGAAGCTCAGGTGGGTTAAATGACTCCTGAGGCCACAAAGCTGGGAAATGACGGAGCCAGGCTTGGGTCTTAGGGCTGCTGGATTCCAAAGCCAGAGCTCTCCCACACCTACCCCTAATGTGGCAGGGGACACTCTGCTGTCCACCCCAGTGGCCATCTCCACCTTGACGCTCAAGCCCAAGCTCTCCTAGCTTTCATCAGAGACAGGGGACAAGGACTGTGCCCCCACCTACCACCAACCCTGTGCTACCTCCTGGCCTCCCTGGTACCTGGGGTCTTTCAGGATCCAAGTGCGGCCCTGCATCTTGTGTCCACCCATCACAGCCCAAGCCCAAGGTCAGGTGTGGATGCCTGTCCAGGTTGCATCACAGTCAAAGGCTCAGCCCAGCCCCTCCCTCAGGAGACTGACCCTGACTACCTGATGGGGAAAATGACCCAGCACCTGTTACTGCAGTGACCTCCTGTGGGGCTGTGGTGAGGGCTCTGATCCCCTCTATGATTCCCATTTCCTCCTTCCCTCCTGGCCTTCCTTCCTGCATACGGAGAGGTCAAAGACAGGAGACTGAATCCCAACTTCATCCATGTGACAGTGGGCCTCCACTATAACGAAGATAACAATCCCAGCATCCACAGGGACATATGGGACCTGGATGAAACCTCACATGTCAAGAATGTCATCCCATCCCTGTCTCAGAGCCCCAGGAGCCTCCCCATCCTACCCCTTGCCCCCACCCAACTCTGGGGCCCCAGCCTGGCCTAGGAACACACACCTGTGTCAGACAGAGCCACAGACACCCTGAGAGTCACTTGCCCTGCCATCTGGGGTGAAGTTCAGGTTCTCAGTCCAGGCCTCTTCCTGGCAAAAGATGTGACCTGGATGATGCCAGGGACCCGAGGCCATGTGCAAATCCTCGGCACTAGGGTCTGCAGTGGAGAAGGGATAGAAGGGCAGCTGGGGACCATGGGACACAGATGTCTCCAGGTGAGTGGGCTCAGGATCAGCAGCGGATCCTAGAGTGGGCAGCCTGGGGCCAGGAGGAACCAATATCCAAAGGAAGGCATGAGGCTCTGGCACCCCCCAGAGAAAGCAGAGCCCACACACCCAGGCTCGGCAGCAAATAAACCACCAACGAAAGTCCAACCTCACACTGCTCCAATGCCCATTCGTCCTTGTCACCTGCGGGCTTGGGTCCAAAACCAGGCTGATACTAAAGAGCCCTCTGATGTCCTCCAGCCTCATCGCCCCCTTCCCTTAGGGCCATCTGGGCCTCCAACCACCTTGGATGTCCCCATCCCTGTGCCTTTGCACACTGTTCCCTTTACTCTTGTCCCTTTCTCTGCTCTATCAGTTCCTGTTCCTCCATCAAGGCTAGCTCTGTGGCACCTTCCTCATCCCCTATGCAAGCCCCAAAGATAGATGCTCCCACCTTAGTGCTCCTGTAGAGATCTAACAGCAAACCAGAGCAAAGTGGTGTCTGAGCTGGCCTCCCTACTCGAACTCTGTGGGGCAATCCTTGGCTCAAGAGAAGTCAAGAGATAGGATGGAGCCCTCAGTAGCCACGAGCTGCTCATGCCTGGCATTTCTGTGTAGTTTCTGTTCAGCAAAATCTCAGGCCAGAGCTCCAAGGCTTGCCCACCCTCTACCAGGGTCCTGTCTGACCCTCCTCCCTGCTGCTTTCTCCTGCAGCTCCTGTTGCCTCTGCCACCTCCTTACTTGACCCCAGTACTTCCTGCCTCCTTGGGAAAGTGAGGCAGTGAGTGGGGAAGGACTACTGCTTCTGAGACATTGACCACATGCCATGCCCTGTGCTGCCACTCGAAAATTATCTCATTGAATTTTTGTAACAACCCTCTGGTTGGTTTATTGTCCCCATTTTACAGATGAGAAACTGAGGCTCCAAGAGACAAACTGACTTGCCCAGGGTCGCATAGTGTAAGTGGTGGTGCAGGAATTTACACCCAGGGCCCTTGCTCTTTCTCCTGCCCTGAGAGACCTCCAGAGAGGAGCCAAAGCCAAGCAGAAGCTCCAGCGTGAGCCTGGGGTAGGGGCAAGGGGACTCTCCATACTAGTTCAGCAACCCCTTCACAGACCCTCCTTCATTCGGGATTAAAAAGAACCCCTAAATGCAAAGCATTCAGACTTTTCCATCTCCCCTCTCAGTCTGAGCCCCTCCCTCCCTCTGCAGGCAGCACTTCCCCACTCCCCTGCCCCAGGCCCTGGGAGCAGCTGCAGTGACCTCACCCAGCCCTGCCCTGAGCCCAGCTCTGGGGAGGGCCCAGCAGCTGTGCCCCAGCCCTGCAGGCTGGCTCCTGGGGGAGAAAGAGGAAGAGTGGGCATGGTGCCAAGAGAACCATCTGCTCTCCCAGGGGCATGGCCACCCGCACAGACACTGGCCTTGCCCCCAGGGGCTGCCCTTGGTCCCCATGCCAAGGGGCTCCAGGAGCCCAGGGCGGCCCACCCAGACCGGGGCACCAGCCCTCATCTGCCATCTGTCTTCTCCTAGAGACTGAGAGGTCCTTGCAGGACATGTTGGAGCACTCAAATGTCCACTGGAAAATGAACAAGTGATCAGAGTAAGCCCTAGGGGCAGAGGCCAGAGGCCAGGGTAGGGTGTGCTGAGCACTGCCTCCCCCAGCCCCGGCCCCAGCCTTGTCTGGCTAAGAGCCCTCAATCCCTTCCCGGGGCCCTCCATCTCGGCACATCTGTTCAGCTGGCAGGTGCCTCAGGAAGAGGGCAAGCCCCTTCCCCCAGGGCCCCAGCTCAGGTTACAAGAGGAGGAGGAGGAGGCCAGCTGAGGACAGAGGGAGGGGACAGGAGAGAGAAGGAAGAGGCCTCACAGCTTCCCAGAGTGTTGGGGGAGGGGAACTCAGAGCCAAAGAGGGAAGGGCCATGCCCAAGGTCACACAGCTTGCCAGTGGGGCAAAGAGGAGCCAATGTCCAGGGGCGGGCAGTCCTGGGTTCAAGGGTGACCTTGAACAAGACATGTCCTTCATCTGTGAAAATGGGGTGCCTAAAACCTGTCCTGCTTGTCATCCAAGGCTATGGAGAAGGCTCTGGAGGCTAGAAAGCAGTGGGCCCACCTAAGGGCAGGAGGGAACTTGGACATCCTGAATATCTGACACCTCGGTCTCAGGGACAAGAAAGGGAAGCATTAGAGGAAGGACCCTATTATTATCCTATTTTATAGAGGAAGAAACTGAGGCTCAGTTGCCCAAGGCTACGCAGAGGGTAAGTAGAGCTAGGCTATGCCCGCCTGTTTGCCTCCAAGACTCCTAACCACACAGCTTGGCCTCACCTAAGGGATTCTCAAGGCACCAAGGGGTGCTGCCTATGCCAGGCCTGATATCTGGGACTCTTTGGGCCTCTGCCCTATCTCAGGCTCATTTTCTCCCCTGGACCCCAGTAGCAGGCCCACACTGGGCACCTGGGCCAGCCTCTCCCTCCTGTCCACTCCCCACAGCACCCTTGAGTGACCTCTGCCCATGTCATTCCCATGGAGAATTCGCAGTGAGAAGCCCAGAGCGTGGGATGCTGCTCTTCAAGGCCACTCACTTGCTTTCCCAGTTTCAACGCCTGCTGGGCCCCACATAAGCACAGCCAGACCCTCTGCGGCTCCCCACACAGTCCTGAGGCCTTGACCCTCTTTGTCTGCTTTGTCTCCCTTCCCCTCTTCTACCTCCAAACACTCAGCTCATTATCTGGCCTTCCATCATGACCCTGAGCAGGTTTTACCCTGCATCAGAGTCAGTGTCCTCCTTTTATCTCCCTAGCTTGACCCCTGCAGGCTGGGATCTCAAGGTCAAGGAGCTAGTCCAGTCCCCACCCAGCAGCCCTGCATAATAGGTACCCAGTGGATGTAGCCCTGGATCACGGAATGGAGGGAGCTGCCTCAGCCCTGGGGGCTGCAGACCAGGGGAACATCAGGCTGGTCTGCCCCCACCTTCAGGGTGCTCTCTATCTGGGAATGGGAGCCAGGGACCCCAGGGCCATTCCCCAGGCCAGAAGCCTGAGGGCCAAACTCCAAGGGATAGCAGAGAGACAATGATTGGGAGGGGGAAGGGGCAGAGGGGAGGAAGGTCAGAGCCCTGGGCTAGGGTGGAGTTAGTCCTGGAGAGTTTCGTTTCTGCCACTTAGAGTAGGGTACTGTTCAAGCTGCTTACTTTTCTCATTCTTTGTTTCCTCACCTGCAAAATGGGGAAAGTAACCCTACCAGCTTCACAGGGTTGCTGGGAAATTAAATGAAAGAATGTACGTAATGGCACATGGCAGGTTGAATCCTGAGCTGGAATAGTTCAGTGTGGCTAGGGCAAGGGTCAGAAGATGGGAGGGTGGCTGGAAAGGTTGACTAGGGCTGGTGGCCAGGCCTTAAGTGTCCTACTAAGGCCCCAGGACTGGATTAAGCAGCTATACACATGACCCTCTTCTCTCCCTCTTCTCTGCTCTCTGAGAGCAGGGGCTGTGACTTTTTTTTTTTTTTTTTTGAGACGGAGTCTCGCTCTGTCGCCCAGGCTGGAGTGTAGTGGCGCAATCTCAGCTCTCTGCAAGCTCCACCTCCCAGGTTCACGCCATTCTCCTGCCTCAGCCTCCCCAGTAGCTGGGACTACAGGTGCCCGCCACCACGCCCGGCTAATTTTTTGTATTTTTAGTAGAGACGGGGTTTCACCGTGTTAGCCAGGATGGTCTCAATCTCCTGACCTCATGATCCGCTCACCTCGGCCTCCCAAAGTGCTGGGATTACAAGCGTGAGCCACCACGCCCGGCTGTGACTTTTAGTTTCTTCACCATTCCAGTTCCAGAGAGGCTTCCTGAGTATTTACAACCACACAGACTCTGGCCTTGTCCCCAGGGGCTACCCTGGGCTCTCTGTCCCCTTGCCAAGGGACTGCAGGAGCCCAGGGCAGCCCTCCCTCCCTCCTGCAGCAAAGGCTCCTAGTAGCAAAGCATATCAGCCCTGGCTGTGGCTCCATTCTCTTCATCCATGTCCTATACAGTGTGATTTCTAAGCCATGGGGTGGCTGCATGATGCTGACGTGGTGGCCCAGTCCCTGGGTGCTGACTGCATGGGGTTCAGAACTCTGGAGGACCCAGAAGGAGTGAGGAAGAGGGGCGTAGCCTCAACCTGGGCAGCCTGCTTGGAGTAGAAGCTGGTCCATGCTGGGAGGAAGAGACAGGGGGACAGGCAGGAGGTGAGGAAACCACCCTCTAAGGCATCAGTTCAGAATGACCTGTCACCAGCCATACACAGATTCCAGAGCCCATGCTGATATAGAGGATCTGAGCTGGGGACTGGAAGCCTGTGTTGTCAGAGCTTCTAGGTGACTCTGATCATCAGCCAGGTTTGCAAACAACTAAGGACTTGAGGCAGGAATTCTCAATCAGAAGTGTTGCGTTCCAGAATCACCTGGAAGGTAGGGCTTTGTTCAAACCACCCAAGACCCCACCTAGTTTCTGAGGGGTATCCCGAGGGATCAGCCAAGGAGAATCAATAGGTGCCTTGGTGACCGTGTGACAACGGCAGTGGGGTGTGGGTTGAGAATTCCAGTGTCAGGTGTGAAGGTGGAGATGCCAGGGCGACCTGAGATCAGAGGAAGCAGGAAAAGTGGGAGGAAGGGCAGGGCCTGGACAAGGTGGGCTGAGGGCCTATGGGTCCCAGCAGAGCAGTTTGGGTACTTGGTTGACTTCCAGGTGAACCAAGGAGCCCAGGAGGGTTCTGGAGCAGGAGAGCCTGGGGGCAGGAAGGCTGGCTGGCGTGTGGAGCTGACAGCACCAGCATGGGGAGATGCAGAAATGTGGCAGAGACAGACGGGTCCGCGGCTAAATCCAGGCTCCGCCTGTCCCAGCTATGCTGCCTTGGCCAAATGACCTCATTTTTCCGGGCCTCCGTTTCCTCAACTGCAAAATGGGGTTATTAATGTGTACCTAGAGGGATCCAGGGAAGATGAAATGAGAGAATTTATGTGAACTGCCCAACTGACTGCCTAGCACCCAAACATTAATTCTCTTACCTCTCTTTCTCCTTTCCATAAGAAGCACCCCCACTTAGAGACCAGAAAGGTTTCTCTCTGCAAAGAGGGAGGCCCCTGGGGGAGGGTGTGGGAGGCCCCTCCCCCACACGCCACCTGGCCCCCCTCCCACCTCCACATATGGGTTGGGGGGTGGGGAGAGGCAGCAAACAGCCAAACCCTCCCAAACAGGAGTTGGTTTCTATGGTAACCAGGGTGCCAGGAGAAGGGGGGTGCTCCAGATCCAGCTGTCCCCCTGAGAACCCTACCCAGGTCCCAGAGCCTGAGCTCATGCCCACCCAACACCCTGAACCCCCATCTGCCTGCTCTGGGGGCCAGCTGGAACTGCCATAAACACTCCTTTCATTGTACCCAGAGCATATCTGCCACCTGGGTACTGCCACAGACAGGACAGGCATCTTTAAACAGGAGTCCCAAAGTCAAGTCCACCCACACCTGTACTCACATGTGTCCACCTGGGAGAAGTCCTCTCAGTACTATGTGCCCTCTTTCCAATGAACCCCTCATGGCTCCTAGAACCAGTGTGCTTGTCAGTTACGGCACTGAACCGGTAAGAGACTGAGTTAAGGCCCTTTGGACACAGATGAGAACACTGAGAACCAGAATGGGAGAGAACTTTGCTCCAGCTCACACATGCAATGGATCAGGTTCCCTACAGGTAGGTGTTCTGTCCAGCCCCTCACCTACTCCTGACTCCACAGCTAACTCCAAATGACACCAAAGGGCTGGACTAGAAAACCCTGTGTGATGCTGAAAGGGGATGGGGTACTGCTGGGGAGAAGGAAATAAGTCCTAAAAGCTTTAAGACTCACCTAGCAGCCAGGCATGGTGGCTCATGCCACGATGTAATCCCAGCACTTTGGGAGGCTGAGGCAGGTGGATCCTTTGAACCCAGAAGTTCAAGACCAGCCTGGACAACATAGGGAAGACCCCTGTCTCTACAAAAACATCTTTTTTAAATTAGCCCAGGTGGGATGGCCTGTGCCCATGGTCCTAGTCACTCAGGAGGCCGAGGTGGGAGGATCACTTGAGCCCAGGAGGTCGAGGCTGCAGTGATCTCTGCCACTGCACCCCAGCCTGGGTGACAGAGTGAGACCTTGTCTCAGAAAAAAAAAAAAAAAAAAAGACTTGTCTAGCAACAGAATGGGCAATCCCAGAGACGGTGAGTTTCCAGTCGCTGGGAGTGTGTCAGAGGGGGTTGAGCTGGGGAGGAGTCAGGGGTGCAGAGACTGGGTTCCAGGACTCTGCAGCTCTTTGGAGAACCCAAGTCTGATCTGAACGTGAGGGAGCAGGCACCAATGCATAGGCAGGCCCAGCCCCACCCTCTCCTGTTTCCGAGGCACCCCCAACTCTGGGTAAACGGGAGTTGGGAAGGGGATCTAGTGAGTCTGCTGGGAGGTAAGGGAAACTGAGGTGAGGAAGGGGCTCCCCCTGCTGTAGCTGATGCACCCACATCCCACCCAGTACTTGACTACCCCTCAACCCTTACAAGTCACAGATAGGACCCCATGTGGTGGTCACCACTAGCTGCCACTCAAAGACAGGGAAGGTAGGCGGCAGGGAACAAGCCCTGAAGCCTTTCAGAGTCGAAAACAAGCCCTTCCCTCCAGCCCCTGCCCCACCTCAATCCTACCCAATGGAACAGAAAAAGCTCGAGCTTGGGGTCCAATTCCCAGGTCCACTACTTCACAGGTAGCGACCTCAGGGAAAGTCACTTCCCCACCTGGAACACAGGGGTGCCAGCCCGCCTGGGTGGCGATGAGGGTCTGATGGGAGTGCTCTGGACCGGCGGGCGCCTCTGTCACGGCCCCCTCAGCCCTCCGCCCCTCTGGCAGGGCCTCTCCAGTTCCTCAACCTCCCTGCTCCCTCTAGTCAGTCCCTTGGCTGGAGCCCTCGGGGCGTGCAGAGAGGGGCCCCCCAGACCCGCAGAAAGTGGGGGCTGGGGGCGCTGAACTTTCGAACCCGCAAACCCCCCGCGCCGTTCATTACCTTAACGCGAGTTAAAAATAACCGTCTCATCTCTTTAAATTAGTCTGTCTGCAATTACCGCCTGGCACGGCGCTGCCCGCCATCGTCCCGCTGGAGCGGCGCCAGGTGGCAGGCGGGGCCCTCACCCTGTCTGTCGGTCTGTCTGCCTCCAGGCCCCCTCCTCTCCCGCCGCGTGGCTGCCCCAGGGGCCTCCCTGAGCCCCGCCTCCTCAGCTCCCTAAGTTGCGCGGGGAGTGTGGCGGGGGCGGCCGCCGTGGGGCCGGAAGGGAGCGAGGGGGTCCGCGGGGAGCAGAGCGGGGTGGGGGGGCTGGGCACGGCGGCGGGGGAGGGGCGCCGGGAGGCCCGGGAAGCCGGAAGGGCCCGAAGCGCGCCAGCGCTCGTGGGTGGGTGTGAGCAGGTGGTTGTGGGAGTCTGCCGGGCGTGCCAGCAACTGTGCCAGGAGCGGCTGGCACGGGCTCGTGCCCAGGAGGCGGGCAGCTGCCAGCCCCCCGCTCATGCAGTGAGGGGGGTGAGGACACCCCCCAACCGGGGCTCACACCGCCTCCTCCCGCACCCCCATCAGCCCTTGGGGCTGGGGATCCCCGGAGGACAAAGGAGGAGGAGGGAGCCCTGCTGGAGCAGGCTGGGGGGAGAGGAAGCGGGTGGCTTCAGCTGACAGCCACTGCTCAGGGCTGTAGCAGGACCCTGCCCCCACCCTCTCAGATGAGTCCCTCTCTTCCAGCCCCACCCCACCTGGAACTTACTGGGCCAGATGGGGGTGGTGCCACCCCTCCTGATCCCACCTCTCATCACCCAGGCTGCCCCAGCCCCTGGGAGAGAAGGGAAGTTCCCATCCAGAGTGCTCCTTCTGGGGACAGGAATGGGAGGCGCCCAGGCCTGGCCTGGGAGCTCCCAGTGGAGCTGGCAGCCAGGAAACACAAAAGCAGGCAGAACAACTCCAGGGGCACTAAGTGGAAGGTGTGCCAGAACTCAGAGCAGCCTGAAAGGCTTCCCAGAGGAGTCCAGGGCCAAGGGAAAGTGAGACTGGAGCATCTGAGAGAAAGTAGGAGGCTCTACCTGGATATTCAGTCTTGGGACGCTGTAGAGGCACCGCCTATCCAAGCCCCCATCCTAGGCCTGGAGGGGAACATGACCAGCCCCTTTGGTTGGGTTCCCAGCAATGAGCCCAGCCTCTCTAGGCCTCAGCATAGTCTGGGTGTCCCCAAGCCTGCTGCTGGTCTTGTCTTCTCCAATTGCTGTCCTGCACCACTCAGCCACCTCCCTGCATCACAGGTGTGACCACAGGGATAAGGCTAAGCATGTCATCCCTTCCTGATCTGGCCCATTCCACCCTTCCCATGCCACCTCCCTGTCTTGCCTGGACACCCTTGGTTTGAGTCTGGCACACCCAAACTGTCCCCAAATCAGACATGCACAATTTCACCTCCCTGCCTTTGGGAATGCAGTCAATACTTCCTGGAAGACTATCTCCCAAATTCTCCCCTCCCCAGTGAAGGCAGTGCAGTCCAAGTGCCACCTCCTCTGTGAGGACCTCCCTGGCTCCCCCAGGGTATCTAACTCCCCTTCCCCTACCTTTCCCTACCCCCATCCCCAGCCTTTCCTATCTACAAAACACAAGCCTGGGTGTGGAACTGGCTAAGTCCTGATTATTCTGAAATAGATCCAATTAATGCCTTCTCCTTTGGTCCCCTGCCCCATCTAACACAGGGTTTGGTACACCCCAGGGATTCAATTGCAGTATATTTGTAGGGGAGGGGAATGAGGAGAGAACAGTGGGCCCTGGCCCCAGGCCTGGCACCTGAGGTGTTCTGTCTGTCAACCTGAGCCTGGCTGGGAGCTGGGACGGCTCTTTCACCAGGCCTCTGGAGGAAACGACTGGGAATGGGGAAGGGCACCATGCAGGAAGCTCCAGGAATAAGTGGGGAAGTAGGCTTGCTGGGGAGCTGGGTAGAGGGTGAAGTGGAAGGGGACAGCATCAGGCAGGCCCCTTTCCAGTGCCTGGGTGGTCTCTGCCAAAACCTAGGTCAGGAGCCCACGCCTTAGGCTCCCTCTCCAACACACAGCCCGTGACTGGGAGCCCAGGCACAGGGAGAATCGGTGTGTCCCTAGCAGTGTGGTGCTGTGGAAACCGCATCCAATGGGCAGGCGGGAGGCCTGGGCCCTCATCCAAGGCCTGCTGCTCAGTGATGCCAGTGGCAAGACTCCTATCCCCTTCCAGGGCCTCAGTCTCACCGTCTGGGAAATGAACTCATGGGTCTAAACTATCTCCAAGCATATTCTCAATCACGTTTTAGGATTTATACCTGCCCATATTCAAAGCCTTCAGTGTGTCCCTCCCACCCCCCCACCCCCCCGCCAGCAGGACACTGTTCCAGAGGTGCTTGGGGACCCTGGAGGGAGACACATGTAGGCTGGATTCCAGCTTTCCCATCTACTAACTGTGTGACCAGTTCACTCCTAAATACGGGCCTCAGGGCCTTCCTTGTACCTGGGGCCAATGCCGGCTTTGGAGACCCTGGAGGGAGACCATTTGGTCACAGTAAAACCACCTCAGGGACTGCTGAGAGCGTTAAAGGCAGATGTGTCAAGGTGCCTCTCACAGTGTTTGGCCCCAAGACCTTCAATGAACTGCAGTTCTCTGCTTACTTCCAGCCTCATGTTCCCTCTTCCCATCTTTCCCCATGCTGCCTGATGCAGCAAGCCCAGCTGGAGCTACATGTCCTGCAAGAAGCCCTCCCAGCCACTCTGGCCCAATGTACTGTCCCCTGCCTCAGCATCCTGCACCATCCACTCAGTTCCCTACTCTTTCACTAGACACACACTGGTGGCTTCTTGGTGTCAAGACTGTATGCTGGGTGCTGTGGGCACAGAATGGTTCTGACACTGCCACTGTCTTCCAAAAGCAGGGTAGAGAGGGGAAATGAGACAGAACACAAATGACTAAAACCTGCTACCAGCAGGGAGAGGGCCAGAGAAAGGGGAGTCCTAAGCTAGCTAAAAAGGGTTTAGGGAAGGCTTCCTGGAGGAGGCATCTGAACTCTGTACCCTTGAGGACATCTACAGGGAGGAGTAAGCCAGGGCATGGGGAGTGCAGGACACACTTGGGGGAAATGTGTTCTGGTGGGGGTTGAGCCCAAGGGGATGGGAGAGGGGATGCGGAAAGAGACCCAGGTCTACTCCTCCAGCCTGTGTTCCTGCCCCACAGTGGCCGGTGAGGGACAGAAGCTGCCAGCACTAACCCTGAGAGCCATGGGCTCCCAGGTCAGGATACCCTGGCTCTACAATGCTGCCCCTGGGTATCTAGAGCTGTTCATGCCCACAAGTCTCCCCTCCTCCACTGGCACACCTCCTTCCTCTGACCCAGCTCACAGGCACCACAGGGCACAGCCCCCTCCCTTGACATAGGCATGCCTCCCTCACAGAGGCCACTCCTCCCATAGGGAGGCTGACAGTTCGCCTCCTAGGCACAGGAGGGGTCTCCAGCCTCCTCTCCCCCAAAGGCATAGACTATCCCCACTCTCCAACAAGATGGCCAGGGGAGGAGCTGGGTCGAGAGGCCACAATCCAAGCAAGCCCCTGTCCCCTCCTAAGGTGGCTCCCCCCTTTCCACTGGCTGGCACTGAGGCCTCCCTGGGGTACCCTGCCCCTCCCCCAGCCCCTAAATGGATCTGGGCTCCGACAGCTAGGGAAGTGGAAAAAAGCATCCTGGGTGGGTATGGACAGATCCCCAGCTCTCAACACCCTGTCCTCACACCAGCAGGGGCCATCACCAGTGACCCCCATCCTGATCTAGGTAAGGGGGGCAGCAGCCACCCCATGGAGAACTCAGATCTCAGGTCACCTGCCGAGTTCCCCACTCCAGGCTGGTTGGTGCCCTAGGGTGAACTCTGGCACCACAAGAAGAACTGTGGGCCCATGGTCACACTCCTCACCCTGGGGACAGCTCCAGGAAGCGCAATGATAGAGATTTGGGAGGGAAAGCCGGCATTGGCCCCAAGTCATTATTCCAGCGCTCTAAGAAGGGTGCCCTGGTGGAAAGGGTAAAACAAGAGTCACACAAAGCAGACTTGGGGGAGGAGGGGGAGGCTCCCCAATGTCCGCGGCCTGGGAATGGGTTCCTCTGCTATGCCCCCAAGGACAGGGTGGGGACGTGCCTCGGGGACGCCTCAAAGCGGCAGTCCCTTGTCACCCTACCAGACCTCCCACCCCGCATCCCTCCCCGCAAGGGAGCACGCACACAGCTGCTCCCAGTACGCCCCCGCCCGTCCGCTGGCCGGCCCCACGCCCTGGGCGCACACTCTGTGACCCCGGGGGGTGCCAAAAAGCCCTCCTTCTGACGGCCCTCCTGGAGCCCAACACACCTAGCAGCCCCTGGAAGCCCCAGTCGGCGTCCCCAGCCCCCTCCCCAGCCGGACGCCCCCACCTTCCAGCCGGCCGAGCTGTTGCTGTCGCCTTTATCCTTGAAGTAGGGCACGTAACGGACCATCCAGTCGTAGATCTGCGAGAGCGTGAGCCGCTTGTCCGGGGCGCTCTCGATGGCTTTGGTGATGAGGTCGGCGTAGGACAGGTTCCCCCACGCGTTCCGCCGAGAGCTCTTCGCTTTCCGCAGCGGTCCGACCTCCGCGCCCAGGGGCGGCGCTGGGGCCATCGCCGGGGCCGTAGCCCGGCGCTCCGGCCCGCAGTCCTCGGCGCCCTCGGCCACCCCTGCGCCCAGCGCTCCGTCCTCGTCGCCGGCCAAGTCAGGCTGCGGCAGGGGCCAGGTACACGAGCGCGGCCGGCTCTGCGGCGCGAAGTCCGGGTCCACGTCCACCTGATGCGCTCGCAGCTTCGCAGCCATGGTCCCGCCCGGCTCGGGCGAGGAGGGGAGGGAGGCTTCGCGGAGGGTGGGCGGGCGGCTCCGGGATCTGCACGCCCCGGGGAGGCCCGCGGGAGGGGTCCCTGGCGGCGCTGTCTCAGCCGCGGGGCGCCATGGGCCGAGGCGCGGAGGCAGGGGGCTGGACGCGCTGGGGAGCACGAAGGGAGGGAAAGACCTGGGCAGTGAGGGGGCGGCGGCCCGGGAGCCCAGCGGGCACACACCTCGCCCAGCCCCGCTTCTAGCACCTGCCGCCTGCCTGCGCCTGCAGCCACCACCGCCACCGCCGCTGCCGCCGCTCCCCGGGCGCCGGCCCTGCGCACGGGCCCTGCTCTCCCGGGACGAGGCCGGATTGCACCATGCCGGAGCCCGAGCCGGTGCCGGAGCCCGCGCCGCCGCCGCCCGGTGAATGCTGCCGCCGCCGCCGCTCCGGCTCCAGCGCCAGCTCCCGCGCCTGCCGCGCTCAGCGCCGGCTGCACCTCGGGATGGGCGGGGGACGGGGAGGGGGCGGGCCCGACGCGGGAGGGGGCGGGGCGTTTCGCCTGCGGCCGCGGAATCCTCAGCCAGCCCAGGTGCCCCGCCCGCGGGCTGGGAGACCGGGCGCTGAGCTCCCAGCTCGGGGCGACCCCGCCGCAGCCCCTGCAAGCAACAGCGCCGCCTACGGAGCAGGGGCGGAGCGGCTGGCGCGACCCCGCCCCCTGCTCGGCGCGGAGGCGGGGGGGCTAGGGGGCGGAGCCCTAACACTCCCATTGGTCCGCGGCTGGACTGTCCTGCCCATGGGCTCGACAGGATCCCTCCCAGAAGCGCGTCACCGGTTATTGTTACAACCCGGGGTTTCCCGGGGCAACGGGATGGGGCGGGGCTCAGGGCACTGGCCCCGCCTTCTACTCCGGAGAGGACTGCCCCGCCCTCTGTTTGTAGACTCCTGACGTTCCCAAGTCTCCGTTCCAGGACTCTGACAGGGAGGATGATCGAACTCTGCTCTTCTTTGTGCCCTGGACTGAGCTGGGGAAAAAGAATGGGTCAAGAATACCTGGGTTCTAGGCTAGGCTTTGCCACAATTCTCGCTCCTCCATCCGCAAACATGTTCTTCATGGTGCCTGTGGTCATAGTTTTAGAGCTCCAGTTCTCAAAGTTTGACGCAGAGCAGAATCATCCCCTAGAGCTTGTTAACATTGCTGGACCCCAACTCCAGAGTTTCTGATTCGGCAGGTCTGGGTTGGGGCCCCAGACTTTGCATTTCTAACCAGCTCCCAGGTGATGCACGAGAGACCACACCTTGCAAACCATTGTTTTAGAGTCTGTGGGAGGTTCTTACTGCGGTTGTTGGAACAAGCACTTGTCTAAAGTTCACAGTGTTTGGGGAGATGCTTCTCAATCAGTTCCTGGATATTTATTGAGCACCTCTGACGCACCAGGCACTGTCCAGGGCTCTACAGTGAGAGCAGCAACTGAAACAAATGAGGTCCCCTACTGCATAGACTAGTCAGGAGTCAGATGCTAATCAGATCATCACATGAGCTCAGAAGGGCGAGGCTAGCCGAGAGGTTGGGCAGTCCGTGGCCTCATCCTACAGGCTGCTGAGCTAGGTTTCCCAGTCACCACTGCACCTGCTGGCCTTCGCTCAGGGTATTTATCCCCTCTGCCTAGAACACCATTTCCCCGCCGCAAGGCCCTCATCAGAGATTCTCCCACTCTTCAAAGCTCCGTGCAAATGTCAACTTAGCCCTGACACCTTCTCTAGCCCCAACTCCCAACACTTTCTGTTCTCTGCTTGCCCAGACCACTTGTTGAGCTGCCAGCAACACCTTGTGCCCCTTTAGCACAATATTCCTATTTTGCCAATCAGGAAACTGAGGCCCAGAATGAGCAGGTGATTCCCCTGGTGGCATGGCCAGGACTGGAATCTCAAGCTCCTGATTTCTTTACCAGCCAGTACCTTGCTCCTGAGGACGCTGGAGATGCGAAGGTCTCTGGGCAGTGGGAGGGCTGAGCCCAGGCCATGGGAGATGGCCTCCTTTCTCAAAAATTTCTTCCTTCCAGTTTAGGACCTGAGGAGCAGGGCCAAGGGTGAGGGTGGGGGTGGGGCTGGAGGAGCCCCTCCTCATTCCCTAGGGTGGGAGCAGGACTTGCTTGCAGATGCCTGGCGTGGCATTTGCCTGAGTCATATCCCAAGGCAAGGGTGGGCATGGGAAGTGCTGGCTGACGACCCCTCCGATCCATACACATACACACATCCTCCAGGTGATTCTGTTTAGAGTCACAAGGAGCCTGAAATCATTGCTGAATCCACCCCCCACCACCACATCACTCGTATGCCCTCCATGCCTGGGGAGTCCATACTGGGAGCTGCTCCCCTAAGGGACCCTGGAGACCGAGCAAGCCTCCCGCCAGTCTGCGGCCCTGGCCCAGCTCTGAGCTGTGAGGCAGAGGCCTGCTGAGGGCCATACCATTGCTGGGAGGATCCTTAGCTGGGGGCCCTGGCACAGGCTGCCAACATGGGTCTGGGAAGCCAGGTTGGCAGAGATGCACTAGAGGCTGACTCAGGCCCCTGCCCTGCCCGGTGTCCACAGCTGCTGCCTGGACTCTCCTCTGAGGCCCATGTCTGGTACACTCAGCTCCTACACACACACACACACACACACACACACACATTCAAACTCACACCCAATGGCACACACTCACATTCTTCTCACTCACAACTTGGCCCCTGCTCACACATTCATTTTGAGGCAGTATAACATAGTGATTAAGAGCATGGGCAAGATACATAACTGCTCAAAGCCACTCTTTCCTACTCTACAAATGACTACCATAATAGCACTACCTTCACAGGATATTTGAAAAATTAAATACATTTATGAATGTGAGCACCAGGCTCAGAATAAGCGCGCAATAAATGCTAGCTGTTTTTATTGCTGCTTTTGTGTGTACATACCTTCCCTTCCTACTTTGCCCAGCTCATACAGTCCCACCTGCTCTTACCATGCACACACTCACAGCCGCTCACACATGTAGGCTCACTCACAAGCACACTCGCCACGTGCCTCACGCTTGTGTCTCAATTACACAGACCCATGGTTTCTACCTACAGTTCCCTTGACCACCAGCTCTCACCCTTCCCCGCTCCCCCAGGCTGGCTCTCAAGCTCCCATCCACCCTCCCTACCACGCCCACATTCATTTCTGTTCACAAACAAGCCCCCACTTGCTTCCCCTTTCATTCCTCGTTTTTCCACATGCAGGCACATATTCTTCACTCACACCTCCCTGGACACTGGAACATGCTCGCATTCCAGTGCACGCGCACTCACTTGCCCACAGGCAGGTGGATGTGCGCGTTACCCACTCAACTCGTGCTTGGATCACAAAACTTGTACACATACACTCAAACAATCCCAGCGCATGCCTCAATACCTCAGCTGACTCGCCCACTCCCAGTGAGG
Source organism: Homo sapiens (assembly GCF_000001405.40). NCBI lineage: Eukaryota > Metazoa > Chordata > Mammalia > Primates > Hominidae > Homo > Homo sapiens. Next base: position 108,143 of record NW_009646194.1, on the reverse strand, counting down.
AGCACACACCACACAATTCTCCCAACACACACTGCCATCGGCAGACACCCCCCACCCGGGGCTAAGGTGGCACTCCCCTCGCCCTCAAGAGACTGTCTCCTCCCTGTCACTTCCCCTCCTCCAGTCTCAGCTCCCCAGCCCCTCCCAGCGCTCAGAATAGCCCCTGCCACCACTGCTGCTGCCACCGCTGAGCCATCAGGGCCCGCCAGAGCCTGCTTCCCAGTGCTTGCTGCCAGCTTTCCCGGCTCACTCAGGGCAAGTGAGGACAGGAGGACGCGCTTCTCTGAGGCTTGATGGGCATAGCTGCGCTGCATCCCCAGAGCCCACCTGGAAAAAGTCAGCCATCCTGGGATTGGCTGCTGCCACTTGCTCAGGACCTGTGTGCCCTGGTCCTCATACCCCCGGCTGAAAGCAGAGAGGGCTGCCTCTCAGAGAAACCCAGGTCTGGGAAGGAAGAGGTTTGCTCAAGGAAGTGCAGTGAGTTGGGAACAGAGCCAGACCACAATCAACCCAATCATTCCTAGCCCATCATGCAGGAGCTTGAGAAGACCCTCCCCTAAACCACATGGTTATCAAGAACCCCCACCCTGCCAGCACTGAGCAGAGCCTGGCTGATATTTAATGCCACCGTTGCCAGGAAAAAGGAATAGCACAGAGATGATGTCTGGGGACACCTCTGGAGGGGAGGGGAAGGGGCTGGTGACCAGAGGAGGCCTCCAGGGGCAGAAAGGGGGAGTGTCTGCAGAAGCCAGAGGGGATATCAGGACAGCTGGGAGCGCCTCCAGGACAGGCTCAGGCCTGGCCCCTGCAGGGACAGTGACAGGGAGTGGGTGGGGCTGAGCTGAGGAGGCTCAGCTGAGGGGGACAGTGCAGCAATGCAGCCCCTATAAGAAGACCCAAGGCCCCTTCGGCGGCCTGCACAGACCACAGACCAGGCCTGGGCAGAGAGTTCTGCTGGCTCTGGGGAGGCAGCTTACAGCAGCGACTGCTGGGTGCCCAAGAACATGGAGCCCAGGCCCAAAGGACCTTGTACCTTCCTTGTCCAGGAGGCTGTACCACCACTGGCAGGGTAGAGAATCACTGGCATAGTGATTAAGAAATGAATGCCAAAGTGAGCTCCTCTTACAGGCCAAGCCCATTCTGCACACCATCCCATTCAATCCTATATTCTTATCCCCATAAGGTTCCCCAAGCACTCACTAAGTGCTGGCCCCTGTGGAGCACCTGACAGGCATTACCCAAAAGAATCAGACTCCTAGGAGCAAGAACTGGGCACATCTCGTTCACTGCTGTGTCTCTGGGGCCTAGAGCAGAGGCTGACACAGAGGAGACCTTCTGTAAATATCTGTTGAGTGAAGGGATGTGAAAAGAAATCACAACCACCTGAGAGGCAGAAAGTATTATTCCCATTTTCTGGATGGGGAAAGTGAGGCTGAGAGAAGGGAAGTGAGTAACTTACTTCCCTGGAACTCAAACTAGAGTCTGGGTTTGCTCCTTGCATAGCACCGCGGGGCAGGGAAAAAATGAGCTTGGGGCAAGTAACTTCCCTTTTCTAAGTCTCAGTTTCCTCATCTGGGAAATGGGAATGGCTGCACTTACATCAAGATCCCATATGTGAAGTGCCAAGCACAAAGCCCTGCAAAGAGTATGTCAAACATCACATGTCCTTCGTCCTCCTCCTCTGCCTTGGGTTTGTCCTGATAGTCTAAATTTCGGCAGGACCACACCTGGGAGCTAAGATGCCTGTATGTCACCCCCCTTCTGTACCATGGGAAGGAGGTATATTAATTTGTTAGCACTGCTGTGATAAAGTACCACAAACTGGGTGGCTTAAAACAATAGGAATTTATTGTCTCACAGTTCTGGAAGCTAGAAGTCTGAAATCAAGGTGTTGGCAGGACCACACTGTCTCTGAAGGCTCTAGGGGAGAATCCTTCCTTGCCTCTTCTAGCTTCGTGCAGTTGCCAGCAATCCTGCATGTTTCTTGTCTTGTAGACGCATCATTCGAGTCTCTGCCTCGGTCTCAACATGGTGTTCTTCCCCGCCTGTGTCTTCACATGGCAATCTCCTGTCCATCTCTGTATCTTTCCTATTCTTGTAATGACACCTACCATATTGGATTTAGGGCCCATTCCATTCTAGAATGACCTCATTTTAACTTAGCTAATTATATCTGCAGAGACTTTATTTTCAAACAAGTCTATATTCTGAGGTTCCTGGAAAGGCAAGAATTTTGGGGGGCCACTATGGAACCCATTGCAAGAGATGTAATAGAAAATGTGTAGGATTTGGAGACAGGCAGGTCCAGATTTGAATTCTGCCTCCTTCACGAAGAAGCTATTTGACTTTGGCCTTCTCTGAGTCGTCTTGTTTCTTACCCTGTAACGTGAGGACAACAACCTCGACCTCCCAGGGTTGTTGCAGGGAAAAGATAAGTGATGATTTGATGGCAGTGCCCGGCAGAATAAGACCTAGTATCTCACTGTGGCCTCACTGCCTGCCATGTCCTGCCCAAATGTCCTCTCCTCTGGATTGTCCTGTCCCCAGGGCCTCCAACAGTGGTGTGAAAACACTGGGCTGCAGTATTCTGCTACTGGCCCTGCTCTTGGCTAAGTCACTTCTTTCTGGAACTCTGTTGCCTCATCAGTCAAATGGGTGGAGGACCTAGGCAGATACTCTCGAAGCTTCCATCTGAGGGTGATGTTCACAGAGTCTTGAGACCTCCTTGCAAAATACTAGTTTGGAACTCTAAAGACACAACCATCACTATAAGAAGTCACTGAAAAGGGAGTGAGCTTTCTAGGAGAAAGCTACCCCTTCCAGCTTCCCTCCTCCCACCAGGCCCTCCCAATCCCCACCAGGCCATGGAGGCAGTGGACCTTCCCAAGTCAGTAAGCCTCCACTTGTGAGGACCCCCCAGACTTGCTGCTTCTCCCCTTGGCGGCCATAGCCCCAGCACTGGTAGGTGACTGTGGAAGGAGGTAGCTAGTACCAGCTCCATTAAGGACCCACTGTGTAGCCATGGAATGGTTACTTACCTCAGTTTCCCCATCTGCAAAATGAAGATCACATCTATCCCACTCCCCCAGAGGAGGTACAAGAATAAAAGGAGATAATGAGGTAGGGAAGGAGCTATGTGGCCTCTGAAAAATTGTAAGTATTTCTCTCTCTGGCTGACAGCTTGGCCTTGCCCTGTGTCCTCTAGATGCATGGCCAGCGTCACCACCTCCTCAACTTGACTGTTGGTCTCAGGGCCCCACCACACAGGGAACCCTGGTAGAGAGGCTGGCGCCTCCTGGTGAATTAAGATAATTAGAACAACCAGCCCTGCAGAAGTGGCTGACGGAGGGAGGGAGGAAAGGCCTCCTGTGTGCCAGGCACTGTGTTGTGTGTTCCATCTTATTTAATCCTGAAAGCCACACTCTGGAGTAGCCACAGCTATTCCCATTGCAGATGGGGAAACTGAGGCAGCACTCCTGAGGAAACTTCACAGTGCCATTGTGAGAATGATAATAATAATGACTGCTATGGTCGAAACGTTTAAGTCCGCCCCAAAATTAATATGTTAAAATCCTCACCTGCAAGGTGATGGTATTAGAAGGTGGGGCCTTTGTGTGGTGATTAAGTCTTGGGGCTGGAGCCGTTATGAATGGGATTTGTGCCTTTATAAAGAGGCCCTAGAGAGACCCCCTGCCCCTTCTGTCATGTGAGGTTGGACCAAAAAGTCAAAGTCTATGAACCAGAATACAGGCCCTCACCAGACACTGAATCTGCCAGCACCTGGATCTTGGACTTTCCAGGCTCCAGAAAGGTGAGAGGCACATTTCTGTTGATTATAAGCTACCCAGTTATAGCAGCCCACGTGACTAAGACAATGACGAGAAAATAATGTATCAAAGCACTTACTAAGTGCACCCTTTATGCAAAGTGAGTCCCTGGCTCTCACTTGATCCTAAATTAATCCTAGAGCCTGGGATTATTTTAGAAGGGACAGCAGAGGCTCAGAGAAGTAAAATAAATTTCCCCAGGTCACAGAGCCAGAACCTCAGCCCATATTTTCCAGCCCCGAAGCCAACGCTTTCATGGCTACAGCTGCTTTCTCTCACCTGGTTGCTGCCTGCACAGGTGGGTGTTGCCAAATAAGTGGGGCACAGACTTCCCAGGCCAAATGGAGCAGACAGGTTGGCAGAGAGGGGGCATGCCCTCTTCTCCCCTTTGTGTTGTGTGAAACATGCTTAGCCCACACCCTTAACTTCTACTTTTAATTACTGCAATTTAATATTTGGGTTAGAGTAAGTGAGGACAAGCCAAAAATGTGGTCCCCACCAATGCTGTCATCCTACCCTTTGTAAACTCTCATCAACCAGCCGATAGTCCCTCAGCTGGTCTGACCGCCCTGGGACCTGGTTCCGGCCCCAGGCTGCTTTGCAGTCACTTCTCTGCTGCTCCTCTGGGTGCTAGGCATGGCCTGAGCAGGGCCCCACCACTATGACCACAACTCTTACCCGCAGGGCCCAGGCCAGCCACGTGTGCCGCCCACATTCTCTCTGCAGCTGCCGTTCAGAGGCCCTCTCACCCAGTAGAAAGACCTCATGCCGTGCGTGCTTATCCTAGGCCTACCTGCCTAACATGCTTTTCCTGAACCTTCATTTTTATCTCCTGATCTCCTGGCCTCTGTCCCTTAACATGGAGAGTGCAGGAATTGAGCCCAAAAGGCTTGGGTTAGAATCCCGGCTGTAACTTGGTGACCTTGGACATTTCATTTCCCTGAGCCTCAGTTCCTTAGCAGTAAGACAACACTGGCGTTGGCAGCAACAGCACAGGACTATTGTGAGGATGATAATAATAATAATAATAATAATGACAGGCTGGATGTGGTGGCTTATGCCTGTAATCCCAGCACTTTGGGAGGCCGAGGTAGGTGGATCACTTGAGGTCAGGAGTTCGAGACCAGCCTGGCCAACATGCTCACGCCTATAATCCCAGCACTTTGGGAGCTCGAGGTGGTGGGATCACTTGAGCCCAGGAACTCCAGACAAGCCTGGGCAATGTCCCTACAAAAAAATCAAAAACTTAGCCAGACACAGTGGCCAGTGCCTGTGGTCTAGCTACTCAGAAGGCTGAGGTGGGCCGGGCACGGTGGCTCACGCCTGCACTTTAGGTGAATCCCTGTCTCTACTAAAAATACAAAAATTAGCCAGGCTGGTGGTGGGCGCCAGTAATCCCAGCTACTTGGGAGGCTGAAGCAGGAGAATCACTTGAACCTGGGAGGCAGAGGTTGCAGTGAGCTGAGATTGTGCCGGTGCACTCCAGCCTGGGTGACAGCGAGACTCTATCTCAAAAAAAAAAAAAAAAGAGACAAAAGAAAATAACAATAATATTTCTCAAGAACATATTAAGTACAGCCTCTGTGCTAAGTGATTCCATGGCTCTCACTTGATCCTTCATCAATCAGGAGAGGTTGGCATTATTTTACTGTCATCCCCATTTCACAGATGAAAAGGGGGAAACAGAAGTTCCTGGCACATAGTAGGCACTTGACAAGTGCTGATTGTTTCTATGGCTTTTGGTTTTTCAACCATCTAAATTCATAAATTAAACCAACTATTCTCAAGCTGAGCTAGAGTACACAGCAGTTGTTCCTACCTGTGGCATCTGTAGGTGTCTGGCTTGCTCAGTGACTCTAGCTTGGCAAACGGATTGCCCAGGCTGGCTCCTTGTTCTGAGATATCTCATCCAAAGATCTCATCCATCCAAACTCATAAAGAGCCTATGCTGGGGTCAGGAGATGTGGGCCCCTGGGCCAACTTGACCAGTGTTTTACTTAACTCCTCCGAGCCTCAGTTTCCTCTATTTATGTTGCAGAGAAGAGTAGTAGGAGTGGCACATAATAGGTGCTTCTAAACTTTTGGCTCCACAACCTCTCCATATGCCTTAGTCATTTGCATGAGATATAATTAAAGACCAATTCAAAACACTGACCAGCCAAACACAAAAGGGAGCCATTAACACAGTGAACAAATCAATAGAGAGGGGGTGGGTGAGCAAGCGCTCTCCTGATGTCACTGGATGGGCCCTCCGTCCCCACATTGCAATGTGTGCAGATATGCTACCTTCTTGCCTGCTGGGAAGCACAGAGTTAAATCTTGTATCAAACACAGGAACTATTCTAAGTGTAGGTTTGTAGTTCATTCTCTTTTCCCGTTGTATTACAAAGTTCTTACTTCTTTTCCTTACTTAATGGTTGTATTTTTATTGTATGTGTCATTTTATAAAAATCAGAATCTACCCAAATCCCTTTTTATGGAAGTAGAGGCATAAATGATGAGGGAGGAAAAGTAGTACAGATACAGGAAGTCAATCCACATACAGGGTGAGACAGAACTCAGGCAGCTTTCTCACATCCCTGACCAACGCCTTTGAAAGTCAGCTTGTCTGTCACCTCTTCTAAGAAGCCTCCTTGGATCACTTTGGATGATGCCTTAGGTTTCTCCAGAGAAACAGAGCCAACTGGAGATAGATTAAACAGATTGATTGATGAATAGATAGATAGATAGATGATAGATAGATAGATAGATAGATAGATAGATAGATAGATAGATAGATAATGAGGAAACTGGCTCACACAATTATGGAGACTGAGAAGTTATGGAGGCTAAAAAGTTCCACAGTCTGCCCTTGCAAGCTGGAGGTCCAGGAGAGCCAGTGATATTGTTTCCAGCCCAACCCCAAGTGCCTGAGAACCAGGGGAACTGCTGGTATAAATGCCAGTCCAAGGGCAGGAGAAGACCGATGTCCCAGCTCAAGCAGCAGGCAGGCAGGAAGGAGACAAATCCTCTCCTTCCCTCCTCTTTGTTCTAATCAGGCCTGCAACAGTTTGGATGATGCCCACCTACATTCGGGAGCTCAATCTACTTTACCGAGTCCACTAACTCAGAGGCTAATCTCATCTGGAAACACCCTCACAGACACGCCCAGAAATAACATCTCATCTGGGCACCCCTTGGCCCAGTCAAGCTAACACATACGAGAAACCATCACAAATGTATCAGTCAGTCTTCCTATGTTCCTGGTGTATGCTTCTTGTTCCCATTCTCTGCTGTAATTTTCTGTTTCCAGGCCTGTTTATAGTCTGTGAGTTTCTCTAGCCAGGGTCTTTGCCTTGCTCATTCCTCTGTCAGGCCCAGTGCAGGACCTGAATGGGAGATGGGAGGGAACAGGGAAAGGGAATATAAGAGGCTTCACAGAGGTGAAACATTTGAGCTAGGTCTTCCAGTAATTTCCTGAGCACCTATTATATGCTGGGCATGAAGTATCCAAGAATAAGAATGCCATATCATTAAAAAAATGTATGTAGGCCAGGCACAGTGGCTCACACCTGTAATCCCAGCACTTTGGGAAGCTGGGGCAGGTGGATCCCTTGAGCTCAGGAGTTCGAGACCAGCATGGGCAACATGGCAAAACCCTGTCTCTACAAAAAATACAAAAATTAGCCAGGCTTGGTGGTGCGCACGTGTGGTCCCAGCTACTTGGAAGGCTGAAGTGGGAGGATCACTTGAGCCTAGCAGGTCACGATTGCAGTGAGCCACTGCACACTCCATGCTGGGCAACAGAGCGAGACCCTGTCTCAAAAAAAAAAAAAAGAGTACATAAAGGGCCTCCCGTAGTGACAGGCACATGATAGGAACTCAGGAAGTGACAGCCATAGTTGTAATAGGAAAACACTGAAGGTCATCTGAAGGAGATTGTGCTGTTGGCACAATTACACAGAGAAAAACTACGCAGCCCTCAAAAGTAATAAAGTAGACTTCTATGGACTAACACAGAAAGGTGGTTCTGAGACAACACTCAGGAAGAAAGGAAGTGATGGAAAAGTCACAGTGCCTATTGCATGCTAGGTAACATGTGTCATATGATTACATGACTGTAAATACTACACATGTGCATTATATTTGCACATATATATGCACACATATAGACATTTCTGGAAGGATTCCCCAAATCTGTTAAGAGTAGTTAGTTCCAATCAAGAGTGATATTGTGGATTGAGGAAAGCCTCCCCTTTTACTTTATATAGTTTTATATTGTTGAATATTTTTATAATAAATTTAAAAATACTGAAGGGAAAAAGAAGAGTTGCTAGAGAAGGCATGTACTTGAGTGAATAATTAATGAATGAGTGCCCCAACCAGAGCCTCGGTGAAAAGTCCAGTGACTTGGTGCCAAGTGTGTGGTCCAGCAGCCTGGCCTTGTGACTTCCACCGCCCCAGGACAGGCCTGATGAGTGCAAGGGATAGGAAGACATGGAGTCTGATGGAAAGGGCCTTGGAGAAGGTCCCAGGGTCCCACAGAAATCAGAGGTAGGGGAATTGGCCTCCCCTGAGAAGGGATGTGACTTGGGACCCCTGTGGAGCCACAGGGGTGGCCAGAGCTGCCTGAAGGTCAGCCGTATGTACTCAGGAGGTTGGTCCTCTGCCAGAGCTGGGCCCTGATGGAGTCATGAAGACAGCACCCAATGCTGTGAGATAAAGAGGGAGCCTTGGACATCACTGAGCCAATGCCCCTCCTCCGTGTGGGGAGGGGGTCAGGCACATGGGCAGGGGCAGAATTCAGGAATCGTGATTTGGAGTAGCTGATTTCCCAGGCTCCCGCATGGCTCCCCAGCAGGGAGAGCAAGAGTCTTAGAGAGAGAGACAGGTGGTTTCGGAGCTTGACACCCACGCTGTGAGACCCTAGGGCCTCAACTGCCTCCTCAGGAAAATGGAAGCAATAATGCCTCTCTTGAGGGTAATTGTGAGAGCTGGATTAGGTACGAAGGTGGCCAAAGGAAGTCTCTAACTGAAGTAGGACTTAATCCATGGTGTTAAGATGGGCATGAGGGGTGTCTTTAGGAGGGGGTGGGAATTCATGGATAGGGACAGGGTAGCTGGGACTTTGGACTCTGGTCTTTAGGTCTCATGCATTATATACCTCAGAGAGTGAAATCTACACTCAACCCCGGCAGTGAAGAACTTGGTCTGGAGTCAGTCTCCAATGCAAATTCCATTCCCTCACTTCTAATCATATGGCCTCTCCAGGCATGAGATCCTTCATCATAAAAATGGGGATAATAGTAGTTTCTACCTCACAGGCTTGTTATGGGAATTAAATGAATAAATGCTTGTAAATTACCTAGTACAGTGCCTGACACTATTAGGGGTTGTAAGGCAAAGAGGCTCAAATCTTTTCCACCTGAGAGAAAAAGACCCAGAGTTCCCAGTGGACCTCAGGCTGTGGCTTGGAGAAGAGATTGTCAGAAGGAGGAGGTGTCTGGCTTTGGCAACCACAGTGTGGAGTGGTGAAGAGAGCAAAAGCCTAAAAGTCAGACAGATTCAAGCAAAATACCAGCATCTCTACTTTCCAGCTGTCCTTCTCTAAGCCTCAGTTTCCCTAACTAAAAAAGTTGATTTTTGTGCCTGTTCCTGCTCTACCAGATATATTAAAGTGGAACTCTAGGCTGGGCATAGTGGCTCATACCTGTAATCCCAGTGCTTCAGGAGGCTGAGACAGGCAGATCGCTTGAGCTCAGGAGTTTGAGACCAGCCTGAGCAACATGGCAAAACCCTGTCTCTACAAAAATTAGCTGAGCATGGTGGCACACACCTGTGGTCCCAACTACTCAGGAAGCTGAAGTGGGAGGATCTCCTGAGCCTAGAAGGTCGAGGTTGCAGTGAGCCATAATTGTGCCACTGCACTTCAGCCTGGGCAACAGAGTGAGACCCTGTTTCAATAAAAAATTAAAAAATAATAAAGTAAAACTCCAGATACCACGTCATCCAAACCTCCCCCCTTCCACTTTATTTGCCATAGCTCCTCATTTCTGACCACAGTCTTGTGGGAGGAGTGAGCACTGGGCTTGGAGTCTCAAAGACTCACCTTCCAATCCCAGGGCATCCCCTGTCACCTGTGGGATTTTGAACAAATCTCTGCACTTGACAGAATCTCCATTTCCAGGCCTGGGATAATGGTGGAGAATTCCTCCTTCTTCACAGGGCTGGTGGGAGTGACAAGTGAGGCCCTATGCGTGAACGTGTCTTGCCCAGTGTCTGCACAACGCTCGTCTTAGGGTAAATGTTCATTGTGACTTTTTCTTCACAAGACTTATTTTTTTTTGGATGCCTACATTTTACAGTCAGTTTAAGAATAACTTAGTTTTACTCTCCTTGACCAAATGAACTCCCTGAAACTTAATGTGGAAAGCATACATACTCTGAGCCTGACAGGCCTGGTTTAGATCCTGGCTCTAGCTCTGTGTCCTTGGCAAAGTCACTTTGCCTCTCTGAGCCCTAATTTTCTTAGCTATAAGGTAGCATTGATAATATCTACTTCAGCCAGGCACAGTGGCTCACGCCTGTAATCCCAGAAATTTGGGAGGCTGAGGCGGGTGGATCACTTGAGGTCAGGAGTTCAAGACCAGCCTGGCCAACATGGTGAAACCCTGTCTCTACTAAAACTACAAAAAAAATCAGCCAGGCATGGTGGCAAGTGCCTGTAGTCCCAGCTACTTGGCAGGCTGAGGCATGAGAATCTCTTGAACCCGGGAGGCAGAGATTGCAGTGAGCCGAGATCATGCCACTGCACTCCAGTCTGGGGGGACAGAGCAAGACTCTGTCTCAAAAAAAAAAAAAAAAAAAAAAACCTACTTCACAGGATTGTCGTGAGGATGACAGTGACAATAGTGGTAATAGTAACAGGGGAAGAGCTGAGAACTGGCTTCACGACCACTATCGGGGTGGGACAGCTCTGAAGTGACAGACCAGACACCTGGGTAGGTAGAACAGTTTTCATCTAGCAGATCACCACCTGAAAAAACACCCTGAAAACTGCTATCACCTGCCTGAGGGTGTTACTTGAGGGAGGAGTGGCAGAGAGGAAGGGCAGGTTTAGTGGCTGCATGCCTCATATTGGGTTCCTGTGTAACTCTCTGCACATTGCCTGTCTTCACCAACAGCAGCTGCCTCCTGAGGCAGAGTCTCAGTTCAGCTGGGAAAGATCTTTGGATGAGATATCTCAGAACAAGAAGCCAGCCTGGGTGATTCATTTACCAAGCTAGAGTCACTGAGCAAGCTGGACACCCAGAGATGTCCCAGGTAGGAACAGCTGCTGTGTACGGTTGGTGGGAACATAAATTAGTTCAACCATTGTGGAAGACGGTGTGGTGATTCCTCAAAGATCTAGGACCAGAAATACCATTTGACCCATCAATCCCATTACGGGGTGTATACCCGAAGGAATAGAAATCGTTCTATTACAAAGATGCATGCACGCATATGTTCATTGCAGCACTATTTACAGCAGCAAAGACATTAGAATCAACCCAAATGCCCATCAGTGATAGACTGGATAAAGAAAATGTGGTACATATACACCATGGAATACTATGCAGCCATAAAAAGAAATGAGATCATGTCCTTGGCAGGGACGTGGATGGAGCTGGAAGTCATTATCCTCAGCAAACTAACACAGGAACAGAAAACCAAACACCGCATGTTCTCACTTGTAAGTGGGAGCTGAACAATGAGAACACATGGACACAGGGAGGGAAACAACACACACTGGGGCCTGTCGGTGGGTGGATTGGAGGAGGGAGAGCATCAGGAAGAATAGCTAATGCGGGCTTAATACATAGATAGGTGCAGCAGACCACCATGGTACACGTTTACCTGTGTAACAAACCTGCACATCCTGCACATGTACCCCAGAACCAAAAATAAAAATTAAAAAAAAAAAACAGACCCAGAAAAAAAAAAAGAGAATAGTGGATTTAATTTATGAATTTAGATAGTTGGGAAACAAAAAGCCATAGAAAGAACCAGCACTTGTCAAGTGCCTACCATGTGCCAGGAACTTCTGTTTCCCTCTTTTCATCTGTGAAATGAGGATGACAATCAAATAATGCCAACCTCTCCGGATTGATTAAGGATCAAGTGAGAGCCATGGAATCACTTAGCACAGAGGCTGCATTTTGTAAGCCCTTGAGAAATATTAGCCGGTATTATTATAAGGCATGGGGCAGAGGGAAGGGGTGGTTACTGAGACAGAGATCACAAGAAGGGGTGGATGCTTCAGAGGAAGATGATGGATTCAGTTTGGGGGAGCTGAGTTTGTGTGCCAGTGGGTCAGCCAGGGAAGAAGTCCATTTGGCAGGCAGTTGATATGGTAGTGGTCATGAGGCCACAGTCTGGAACTCTGAGCAAAGGTCTGGACAGGAGGTGTAAACTTGGAAGTCCTTGGCACAGAGGTGGTGAAACCATGGCTGGTGGGGAGTGAAGACCCCAAGGGTGATGCTGGAGCAGAATATGAAAAGAACAGAGAGCCAAAGGGGGCTGCTGAAGAACACCAAGATGTTAGGGGGAGCAAAACCAGGGCAGACTGGAAGCTTCTGGGAAGGAGCAGCCAGTAAGCTCAGAAAGAGTGAACTCATGAGAACCAGAAGAGAGTGGTTAAAGAAGGAACTAGTAAATAGCACATATGTCATGGAAAGGTCAAGAAATCAAAGGCCTAAAAGCATATGCTACAGTACATGCTTTCTCAGGCCAGTGCAGGCCAAAAAGTGAGGCAGTGACTGCCCTGAGTATATACTACCAGCGCCCAGCCAAGCAAGGCCAACCTGTAAAGCTCACGTAAGAACTGTGAGTCAGCCAGGGGCCCTCAAAATGGAACCTCAAGGCTCTCGAAAGGCAATGTAGAGGAAGAGAGGGGCTGAACCTCTCTGTATGAGACCGTGAAACCCTGGCAGGCCTCTAAATAGCTCTGAGACAGTTTCCTAATCTGCAAAAAGGAGATAATATCCAAACTTTATATCAGGGTTGCATAAGAATTGGATGACATCATAAGATACCCAGTATACAATGGGCACTCAAAGGTTAGTGTTCTCCACTATTTTAATATAAAAATATTGATCCCTAATGATGGTCCTGAATCACCAAGAAAAAGTTACATTCAGGTCAGTTACCCTTCTTTTGGAAACACAGGGAAGGGTATAATGGACTTTAGAAGGATTCACAGTAGGCCGGGCGCAGTGGCTCACGCCTGTAATCCCAGCACTTTGGGAGGCCGAGGCCGGCGGATCACGAGGTCAGGAGATTGAGACCATCCTGGCTAACACGGTGAAACCCCGTCTCTACTAAAAATACCAAAAATTAGCCGGGCATGGTGCCAGGCGCCTGTAGTCCCAGCTCCTCAGGAGGCTGAGGCAGGAGAACTGTGTGAACCCGGGAGGTGGAGCTTGCAGTGAGCCAAGATCGCACCACTGCACTCCAGTCTGGGTGACAGAGTCAGACTGTCTCAAAAAAAAAAAAAAGAAAGAAAAAGAAAAAGAAAAGACAGATTCACAGTAGAAGTCACATCTGTCTTATTTTCGAAGACGGTTTGTCTTGGTGATGGGGTATCCCCAGCATGACCACCAAGCTCCCCTTCAGCACCATGATTTAGTGGCTTTTCCTGGAAGGAAGTGGGCATCTGCCAATTAGCTCCCTGTTCAGAAGTGATGGGGTGCTTTCCCGGCTAGTCTAGAAAGACCCAGATGGCTGGGGAATGAGAGGAAAGCCATGCAGAGCTCACAGAGGAGCCCCAGAGAGGGTTCAGGTTAGGAGAGTAAGGCTAAGTTGTTCTTAAAATGACTGGTAAAGATTCAGTCACAGTTAACATTTACCCCAAGTACTGAGCGAGGCACGGTCACATATCACATATCACACAGTCTCAGTTGTCATTCTCACCAACCTCAGGAGGAAGGTGGAATTCTCCTCTATCTCACACATGGACACGGAGATTCTGTCAAGTGAAGTGATGTTCTCAAAGTCACACAGGTGGCTCTTGGACGGGAACGAGTGCCTGTGGTCAGGAAGGAGAAGTAAGCTGGATGTGAGGAGTTGGGGAGGAAGCCAATGAGGGAGGAAGCTGTGGGCAATGTGATGTCTGGGTTTCACTCTAATACATTCTAGCAGAACAGTACCAGGCACAGGGAGGGGCTGGGACCTGGCCTCACAACCACCACCATGAAGGGACGGCTCTGCAAGTGACAGACCAGACACCTGGGCAGGCAGAGGCGTTTTCATCCAGCAGGAGCCCGCCACCTGCAGACACGTATCAAAACACTGCCATCACTGTCCTTAGTCTACGACTTAGGGAAAGAGTCATGACAAGGAAGGGAAGAGGTTTGAGGGCTGCATGCCTAAAACTGAGCCCACTGGTATCCATGGTGGCCAGGAGGGCAGAAGCAACCAACACACCAGCTATGAGTCCACAAGGCCCTGGAGGAAGTCTCAGGGTCAAGTGGGAATGAAACAGAGATAAGAAAACCTAAAACAGTGGGCTTTCCAAGAAACATGTAACACAGCACATGGGGAGCGCCCCGGGGGGTTCCTGGCACCGAGCAGGCGCTGCTTTCTTCTTCCCACCTCGTGATTGTCAGATGAGGATGCTGAGGCCTGGAAAGGAAGAGCGACATCACATACATAGTGAACTAATGATGAAACCAAGACTGGGGTCGCGATTGCCTACCACCCAGAGGCCCCAGCCCTTAGGCACTTGATGACTCCTTCCTCCTGAACCAGAGTGATGTGTCAGCTACAACACCACAGCAGTTCAGATCATGTTAACAAAGGTAGAGTCTGGACGGCACTGCTCAGCACTGGAGCCACTAATTCCGTGGAGTTCCCGAGCACCTGAAACGTGGCTAGTCCAAATGAGATGTTCTGTTAAGTATAAAAACACACCGGATTTGAACATTTTGTATGAAAAAAGGTTTCAAGTATCTCATGAATGATTTTTTGATACTGATTACATGCTGAAATAACATTTTGACTACATTTGGTTAAGTGAAAATATTTTTTAAGTTAATGTTACCTATTTCTTTTTACTTTTTAAAAAAGATGGGTGCTTATTTATTATTTATTTATTGAGATGGTATTTCACCCTGTTGCCCAGGCTGGAGTGCAGTGGCACAATCATAGCTCACTGCAGCCTTGAACTACTGGGCTCCAGCAATCCTCCCACCCCAGCCTCCCAAAGCACTGGGATTATAGGCGCATGCCACCATGCCCAGCTCCTTTTATTAAGGCAGCCACTAGAAAATTTAAAATTATACCCATGGCTCACATTATATTATCACTGGATAGCACAGGTCTTGACGTAGTAGGAGATGGGGCTGCCCTATCGTGTTCAGAGGACTGAGCTGAATTCTAGACTGCACATCTCAGGAGGCACCTAAGCAAAGAGGAGTAGACTCAGAGCATGAGGAGGTTGGGGAAGGGACTCAGAATGAGGTCACGGCA
Organism: Homo sapiens; assembly: GCF_000001405.40. Taxonomy (NCBI): domain Eukaryota; kingdom Metazoa; phylum Chordata; class Mammalia; order Primates; family Hominidae; genus Homo; species Homo sapiens. The sequence continues at coordinate 92,829 of NW_009646194.1, read as the reverse complement.
TTGCACAACTCTAAGGTCACCACTGATGGTATGGTCCAGCAGGCATATGAGCTATGTCATTTAAGGGACAGTTGAAGAAACTGGACATGTTCCACCTGGAGAGAAGACTTGGAGAGGGGATGTGATCACTGTCTTCAAATAGCAAAGGACAGTCACGGGACACTGGGGACAGATGTGTTCTGTGTGGCTTCAAAGAGGAGAGCTGAAATTTGAGGGAGAGCTCCAGGGAGCAGACTTCCACTTTAAGGAAGGCCCAGGGCCCTCCAAAGCCAGGCTGTGCTTCCTTTTCTGGGGTCACAGAGAGGGAATGGCATTTGGGGCCCCTTGGCAGATTTGCCTTGGGAGGGGTGAAGCACGGAAGAAAGAAATGTGTTAGATTATCTGCAGTGGAAGAGGTCCTCACACCTTGAGCCTCTGGAGCACCTCTGGGCTGGGTGGCTGCCCCAGGTAGGCCAAAACAGAGGGGCTCTCTGAGGTTTCAGCCTAATAATAATAACACTACAAAACTGCTTATTGAGCATCTATACATACCAGGGGACTTTACACACATTATTACTGTGTCTCTAGCCTACCCCGAGGAAGTGGGTGCTATTTCCCAATTATTAGGTGGATAAGGAAACTGAGGCTCAGAGAGGAGGAATGCTTTATCCCAGGTTACACAGCCAGGATGAGCTGGGATTTGAACCCAGTCTGGCTGATCCCAGGGCCCACAGGCATGGGGTGGCCTCCTCAGGGAGCCTGGAGGGGCAAGGGCCAGCTAGAGCCCTGGGGAAGCTGGGTTGGTTCTTCACGGGAAGCCAGGGCCCCACTGGGCTCTCCAATTAGCAAGAGCAGAGAAATCAGAGGCAGCAACAAGCTCTGCTAATGAGCTGCCACATTAAACAATGAGTCACACTTCCATACGGTGCCGCTCCAGCCCTAACCCGGAACAAACAAGCTGTGAGAAACAGTTTACAAAACAGCGAGGTGTGACTGTCTCCCTGCTGCCGCCCGCCACTGCTGCCACCACCACGGCACTGCAGCCACCACGGGCCCACCGCCCACGGGCACACACAGGTGCAAGGGGCAGGCCCGGGAGGGGGCTAAATAGCCAGCCCTGGCTTCTGAGCTCAGGGGGAGTACCCTTCTTTGGCAGTGACCCGGGGGACAGACCCTGAGCTGCAGCTTCCACTGCACTCTAGCCATCTCCTGGGATGCAGGGGTTCTGTCATTTGGTCACTCTGTGACCTAGGGCAAATGACTTAATCTCTCAGGGTCTCAGTTCTCTTATCTGTATTGCGGGGATAATATCTAGCTCATTCTTTAATTGTGAAGACTAAATGTGATCATCACGTAAACTTCCTACTACAGAGCCTGGCACAGAGGACCTATGCAGCAAACCATTCACCCCCCAACCCTTGCATCCTTCCCTTCCCCTGTATAGGGAATCCAGCTCAGAGCTAGTCTTATAGAAATCCCCCATTAATGGTGTCTGCCTTCCTTTTCCTGACCTATATTGTATTTATTTGTGTCCCTGGCTTACCCCCTACTGAAATATGGGATCCTGAGAGCAGGGACTTGTCTTACTCATTTCCACACTCTCAGGCCCAGCACAGGAGGTGGCAGGGTGAAGTGGGAGGAGCATTAGGCATTAGGGACAACAACTGTGAGTTCAGATCACTCCTCTGGCAGTTATTATCTGTGGGATCCTGAGCAGCTATGCTAAGAACCATTTATTGAACACTTCCCTGTGCCAGACCCAAATGCTTCATGTGTTCTATCCCATTTAATCCAAAGAGAGGTGTTACTGTCCCATCTCACCAACAAGGAAATAAGCCCTCAGAGCAGCTAGGTAGCATGGTGTGATGTCTTTGTAATTGTCAACTAGGCTCAGCTGAACTACGTTTCCCAGAATTCCCTTTCCTGTATGTTTCAGGTTAGAATCCCCTAGTGGTTCTGTTTCTCTAATTGAAACCTGACTGATACACATGGCCAAGTTTCCAGAGTAAGATAGTGATGGAGCTGGAGTTCAAAATGGGTGTTCCTGTCACCCAGCTGAAGATGGTTAACTACTCACTCTGTTAATAATAGCTAATATATAGTAATTATGAGCCAGTTATATATTTACTCATTTAATTCCCCCAGCAATTCTATAGGTCATTTCTATTATTAGCATCTGAATTCTTACAGGTGGGGAAACTGAGGCACAGAGAGGTTAATTTGCACAAGGTCACATAACTAAGAAGTGGGAAATCTGAGACTGAAACCCAGATTGGCCACACAGTCCATCTTTTTATCTGTTACATTATTCTACCTCTCAACTCTAGTATACTACAACTTAATCCCTAAGACTCAACTTTCCTCATCTATAAAATGGGGATAATCATACCTAATATACAAGATATGTGTGATAATTAAGTGTGGAAATGTAGTTACAGGGCTTCTGGACAGAAGAAATAACAGGGAGTCGATTCACCCTCTCTCCTAAAGCAACTGAAAACCTAGATAAAATATATGAAACAACAGTTTTCAGACACTGAACATAAGGCAAATACAAAACAGCAATTCCTCCGAGACAAGAAACTAATGAGGTAAGCCCTACACTTGCCAGCTTCTACCTGGGGAGAGTTTCCAGGCTGCAGCACAAGGAGTAGCATCCAAGCTATTATAGCTCCCTGAGTGGAGGAGACAGAACAGAGAGGCTGAGAGGCCAACATGACTAGAGTTCACAGGGCAGAGAACTGGAGAGGAGAGCTTCCCAGAGAGAGAGCTCCAAAGATCTGCAGAGAGCCCCCTGAAAGCCTTCGGGTGAATATCGAACAGTATTTGTATGTGAGGAAACTACCCAGGTTTAAGAAAAGAATATCCCAAAGGAGCAGAGGAACCAGTTTCCGAAGACCTGGAGTGGTTTGCCTCCCTATCAACCAGAGTGGAAAACTTCATAAATCACAAAGCATCAAGCAGATTCCTTAAAAGGGCATTGCTTTAACAGTGGGAGGAAACATAGTAGTCCTGCCTAAGAACGCTGCAAAGTGAGCCTCAAAAAATCAAACTTTTCAAGTAACTTAACTGCATCCCAGAACAAAGTTTAAGAATATTTATAGGAATATTAAAATGGTCAGCACACAAGGTAAAGTTCATGATGTTTCACATCCAACAAAAAACTACTAGGCATGCAAAGAAACAGAAAAATACAACCGATAATAAGGATAAAAAATTAAGCAATAGAAACATACCTGGCCAGGTGTGGTGGCTCACGCCTATAATCCTAGCACTTTGGGAGACCGAAGCAGGCAGATTACCTGAGGTCAGGAGTTCAAGACCAGCCTGGCCAACATGGTGAAACCCTGTCTCTACTAAAAATACAAAAAATTAGCCAGGTGCAGTGGCACGCACCTGTAATCCCAGCTATTCTGGAAGCTGATGCAGGAGAATTGCTTGAACCCAGGAGGTAGAGGTTAATTACGCCACTGCACTCCAGCCTGGGCTACAGGGTGAGACTTCATCTAAAAAAAAAAAGAAAAGAAAAGAAACATACCCCAAAATAGCACAGAAGATAGAATTAGTATACAAGACATTAAAACAATTATAATGACTGTATTCCATAAGCTCAGAAAACTAGAGTAATGACTGATCATGTTAAGTAGAGAGAAAGGGGAGAAAAGACCCAAATCAAACTTCTAGATATAAAAAAATACAATGTCTGCAGTGAAAAATGACACTGGATGGCATTAACAGCAGATTTGAATTAATACAGATTTGAATTAACACAGAAGAAAGGACTAGTAAATTTGAAGACATAGCAATAGAAACTATTTAAAATAAAATACAGAAAAAAATATATAATGATATATATAGATATATATAAAGTGAATAGCTCATCAGTGAGCTGTGGGATAATTTTATGCAGTCTAACATATATGTAGTTAAGAGTCTCTCAAAGAGGAGAGGAGCATAAAAATATTTAAATAAATAACCAATAATTTCCCATATTTGATACGAACCATAAACCATGGATTCAAAAATACCAACAAACATCAAGCACCAAGGCATGTAATGATTAAATTGCTTAAAACCAGTAATAAAGAGAAAATCTGAAAAGTAGCAGAGAAAAAGAGACACATCATATACAAAAGAACAATGAATGACAGCAGACTTCTCATTGGAAATATTTCAAGCAAGAAGACAGTGGAATAACATCATTAAAGTACAGAAGGTAAAAAAATAATGAAAAAACCTGTCAACCCAGAATTCTGTACCCAGTGAAAATATATTTCAAAACAGAGGAGAAATGATTACTTTTTCCAAAATAAAAAGTTGAAAACATTCATCAATGGCAGACTTGATCTACAAGAAATGTTAAAGAAAGTCCTTGAGACAGAAGCAAAAATGACACCAGATGGAAATTTTAATCTACACCAAGGAATAAAGGCCTCTGGAAAAGTAGTTATGTGAGAAAACATTGAATTTTTTTTATTTTGAAAGTATCTTTAAAAGATAATTTATTGGTTAAAGCAAAACAACAAGTACTCTGGGTTTATAACATATATAGAAATTAAACACATGACAACAATAGCCTAAAGGTTGTGAAGGAGGAAAGAGAAGCATGCTGTTGTAAGGTTCTTACTCTGTGTGAAGTGGTATAATATTACTCAAAGTGGTTTGGGATTGAGGATGTACACTATAAACCCAAAAGTAACCACTAAAAAGTAGTTGTATCTAATTAAGCTAATAAAGGAGATAAAATGAAGTCACAAAATATCCAATCCAAAAAAGGCAGAAAAAGAGGGAAAAGAGAAGAAACAATACATGGAACAAATAGCAAGCAGGTAGATTTAAACCTAATCATATCAATAATCGCATTCAGTATAAATGGTCTAAATACCACAGTTAAAAAGCCAAACTGTCAGATTGTTTGTACAGAGCAAGATTCAATTCTATGAATCTTGATTCATAGTGGATTTCTAAGAAATCCACTTTAGGCTGGGCTCAGTGGCTCATGCCTATAATCCCAGCAACTTGGGAGGCTGAGCTGGGCAGATCACTGGAGGCCAGGAGTTCAAGACCAGCCTGGCCAACATGGCAAAACCCTGTCTCTACTAAAAATACAAAAATTAGCTGGGTGTGGTGGCTACCTGGGAGGCTGAGACAGGAGAAGCGCTTGAATCCATGAGGTGGAGGTTGCAGTGAGCCAAAATTGTGCCACTGCACTCCAGCCTAGGCAACACAGCGAGACTCCCTCTCAAAAAAAAAGAAGAAAGAAAGAAATCCACTTTAAATATGAAATAAGTTAAAGTAAGTAAAAATTATGAGTAAAGATGTACTGTGCTAACAATAATCAACAGAAAACTGAAATGGCTATATTAATATAATACAAAGTAGATTTCAAGTGAAGAATATTACCAGAGATAAAGAGTCATTTCATAATGATAAAGTGTTTAGTTCATTAAGAAAATATAACAGTGCCAAACATTTATACACCTAATAGCAGAGTTTCAAAATACATTAAGTAAAACCTGATAGAATTACAAGGAAAAATGTACAAATCTACAATTACAGTTGGAGATATTTCAATGTCCCTCTCTCAATAATTGATAGAACAAGCAGGCAGAAAATCATCAAGAATGTATAGTAAACTTGAACAACACTATCAACCAACTTAACTGACATTTATAAAACACTTTACCCAACAACAGAAGAATACACATTTTTCAGTGTACATAAAAACATTTATCAAGATAGACCATATTCTGACCATAAAACAAATTTCAATACATCTAAAATTAGTCAAAGCATGTTCTCTGACCACAGTGGAATTAAATTACAAATCAATAACAAAAAGGGATCTGGAAAATCCCCAAATAGTTGAGAACAAAATAAGACACTTTAAATAACCTCCAAGTTAAAAAAAAATCAAAAGAGACATTAGAAAGTATTTTGATCCAAGTGAAAATAAAAATGCAACATATCAGAATTTGTAGGATACCACTAAAGCAGTACTTAGGGGGAAATTTATAGGACTAGACACCTATATTAGAAAAGAAGAAAGGTCTCAAATAGTGTTATCAGCTTCTATCTTAAGAAATAGAAAAAAGAAGAGTGAATTTAACCAAAATCAGCAGAAAAAAAGGAAATAATAAAGATCAGAGCAGAAATAAATGATATAGAAAAACGAAAAAGCAACAAAGAAAATCAATGCAATCAAAAGTTACGTTTTTTTTTTTTTTTTTAAAGAAGATCAAATGACTATTGGAAAAATACCAAATGAATTGTCTGCAGCAGAGCACATGTTTTGGAGTCCAACAGACCTGATTTCAGTCACAGCTCGGGTGTTATTAATTATGTGATTTTGGATTGTCCGTGCCTCAGTTTCCTCCTACATAAAATGTACCTGCCTTGCTATTTCATACATTGCTGATGAGGGTAAAAATGTAAAAAATTTTAAATGCATTTTCCCTTTGACCCAACAGTCCCAGTTCTGGGAATTTATTCTACAAGAAACTTTTTTTTTCTTTAACAGCTCTTCTAAGATCTAATTCCCATACCACACAATTCACCCATTTAAAGTGTATAAGTCAACAAATTTTAGTTTGTTTTCAGAGTTGTGCAACCTTTACCACAATTTATTTTAAAACATTTTCATCTCTCCCCTAACATTTCATACCCATTAAGGAGTCACTTCCATTTTCTACCAATTTCTCCAGCCCTAGGCCACCACTAATCTACTTTCTCTGTATATAGTTTTGCCTATTCTGAACATTTTATATAAATGGAATCGTACGTGATCCTTCACAACTGGCTTCTTTCACTTAGCATAATGTTTTTAAGGTTCATCTGTGTTGTAGCCTGTATCAGTACTTCATTTCTTTTTATTGCCAAATCATATTTCATCATATGAATATGCCACGTTTATCCATTCATCAGTTGATGACATCTGGATTATTTTTATTTTTTGCTATTATGAATAATGCTGCTATGAACAGTCATGTACAAGCTTTTGTGCAATTTTATGAACGTGTTATTATTTCTCTTAGTTGTATACCTAGGATAATTTCTGGGTCACATGATAACTCCATGTTAACATTTTGAAGAACTTCCAAACTGTTTTCCAAATTTGCTGTACCATTTTACATTCCCACCAGCAATGTATTAGAGTTCCAATTTCTCCATATTCTCATCCATTGTCTTGGACTAAATGTTTGTGTCCCTTCAAAATATATGTGTTGAAGCTCTATGTCATTGTATTAGAGATAGGACCTGTGAGAAGGTGATAAAGGTTATACCTTTATCATAAGGGTGAGGCCCTAATATGGCTCTTATAGGTGCACTTATAAGAAGAGGAAGATATTTATCAACCCATGTTCATAGCGGTATTACTCACAATAGCTACAGTGTGGAAGCACCCCAGATGTCCATCAGTGGATGAATAGATAAGCAAAAGATGATATGTCCATACAATGGAATATTCCTCAGCCCTAAAAAAGGAAGGAGATTCTGCAATATGTTATAACATGGATGAACCCTGAGGACATTATACTAGTGAAATAAGCCAGCCACAAAAAGACAAATTCTGTATGATTCCACTTACATAAGGTACTTAGAGTGGTCAAAATCATAATGATAGAAAGTACAATGGTGGTTTCCAGGGGCTAGGGGGAAGTGGAAATGGGGAGTTATTGTTTAATGGAGTTTCAATTTTGTAAGATGAAAAGAGTTATGGAGATGAATTGGGGTAACGGTCACACAACTTTATGAACGTGTTTAATGCCACTGAACTATATGCTTTAAAATGGTTAAGATGGTAAATTTCATGTTGTATGTATTTTAGCACAATAAAAATATTGGAAAAAAGCTGCCAATGTATTATTTATGATCTCATTCAAATATGCAATAAAAGTATAAAAACATAATTTCAGGCTAGTGGTTAACATGAGGAGAGGGAGCGGGAAGGGATGAGATTGGGCTTTAGCTATGTATTTAATATTTTTATTTTCTACAAAAAGAGCGAGTTCTGAAGTAAACATGGCAAAATACCACACATTTGTTAAATCAAGTGAATGGGCTATATAGAGGTCAATTATATTTTTCTGTACTTTACTGTATTCTTTAAATATTTCATAATTTGAAATCTAAAAATTAAATTAAGTTGATAAAAATAAAAGAGAAAGAAACACCAGCATACATTTGTGTGCTCTCTTTCTGTCTCTCTCTCTCTACACATGCAGAGGAAAAAAAGGTCCTAGGTACTCAGTGCAACAGTGGTCCTCTACAGGCCCAGAAGAGAGGGCTCACCAGAAACCAAATCAGCCAGCCCCTTGATCTTGGACTTCCCAGCCTCCAGAACCATGAGAAATAACATTTCTGTTGTTTGAGCCAACCAGTCTGCGATATTTTGTTATAGCAGCTGAAATGAACTAAGACACTTGTTATTATGTGTCTTTTTGATTATAGCCATCCTAGTGAATGTGCAGTATCTCACTGTGGTTTTGATTTGCATTTCCCTAATGGGTAATGATGGTGAGCAACTTTTTAATATACTTATCATATCTTCTTTGGAGCAATGACTATTCAAATCCTTTGTCTGTTTTTTCAATTGGGTTATCTTTTTATTGTCAAGTCTACAGAAACTCTTGTACTCATATGAAATGATACACACAAAGCCTGTTTGTTGCAACACTGTTTATAATAGCAAACAGATTGGGAACAATCTTGGTCTTCATCACTGGGAACTGTGTAGTTTATCCATACAATGAAATATTATGCAGCTGTGAAAAGAGAGAGAAAGGTCACAGAGTAATTTATGGAAAGTACCCCAGGATATATTGCTAAATGAATAAAAACAAGCAAGGTGTAGAACAGAATGTATAGTATTCTTTTTTCCAAGAAGAGAGAAAAATAATATATATTATTATTTCCTTGTATTTTCTTTGCTTTTTTTTTTTTTTTCTTTTTGAGACGGAGTCTAGCTCTGTTACCAGGCTAGAGTGCAGTGGTGTGATCTCGGCTCACTGCAACCTCCACCTCCCAGGTTCAAGTGATTCCCCTGCCTCAGCCTCCAGAGTAGCTGGGACTACAGGCATGCACCACCACGCCAGGCTAATTTTTTGTTGTTGTTGTTGTTTTTGTATTTTAGTAGAAACGGGGCTTCACCATGTTGGCCAGGATGGTCTCAATCTCCTGGCCTCATGATCCACCCACCTCAGCCTCCCAAAGTGCTGGGATTACAGGCGTGAGTCACCGTGACCGGCCACTTATATTTTCATAAAGAACCATAGGAAGGACCCACAAGAAATATTAAAACATGATTATCCATGTGATAGGAGATGAGTTAACAGGAACAAGGATAAAACTGAAACTTTTTATTGTATAGCTGTGTGTATTATTTTGATTTTTGAACCTTTTAAATGTATTGCCCAAAACACACAAAAAATTATATATGAAAAGCTTAAAATTTACATAGAGTGACCAGCTCTTCATAGGTGCTTCCCTTGGGCGTGGGCCTGATTCTTTCCCCTGCAGATAGACGTCCTTCCTGGCAGGACAAATCTGGGCCATGACCACACAAAGCTCCAAGTTTACGTCATTCTGGACCCCAGAGGAAAGATCAGCATTTTCCTGCCCAACATTTGTAGATAAAAATCTCAGGGAAGGACTCTGATTGGCTCTGCTTCATCACATGCTCATTCCTGCGGCAAGAAGCAGCAACTGTAATTTACTGAGTCATCTGAGCCACAGTCACAGGAGTGGAGGGGGTGAGGGGGCGTCACTTCTTCAAAGAGAAGAAGATGCTGTTATCAGAGGGGGAATGGGATGCTGTACAGATCAAAACAACAGGCATCCACCCCAGCAAATGACAGTTCTTAGAGTGTGATACATGTCATGATATAGGTCAACACAGTGGGCTGTGAGAGCCCAGAGGAGGCAGCAGTCTAGCTAGGAAGCCTTCCTGGAGGTGGTGACGCTCTGTCTAGGTTTTAGATGATGAGTAGGAGAACTTCTTGGGAGAAGAAGAGAAAATGTGGACAGTGTTTCAGGCAGAGAGAACAGCAACATGCAGAAAGATGCAGAGAAGGAAGGTGGCGCTATGGGCTGAATTACGACCCCCCCCAAAATTTTTTTTTTTCTTTTTTTTTTTTTGAGACAGAGTCTTGCTCTGTCACCCAGGCTGGAGTGCAGTGGCACAATCTTGGCTCACTGCAACCTCCATCTCCCAAGTTCAAGCAATTCTTCTGCCTCAGCCTCCTCAGTAGCTGGGACTACAAGTGTGCACCACCACGCCCAGCTAATTTTTGTATGTTTTTTTGGTAGAGATGGGGTTTCACCATGTTGGCCAGGCTGGTCTCGAACTCCTGACCTCAGTTGATCTGCCAGCCTCGGTCTCCCAAAGTGCTGGGATTACAGGTGTGAGCCACCATGCCCAGCCCCAAAAATCATTTGTTGAAGCCCTAACCCCTAGTTCCTCAGAATGTGACTGTATCTGGACATGGGGCATTTAAAGAGGTGATTACATTAAAATTAGGCCCTAAGGTGGGCCCCAATCCAGTTTGACTGGTTTATTTATTTATTTATTTATTTTGGAGGCAGAGTCTTGCTCTGTCACCCAGGCTGGAATGCAATGGCACGATCTCAGCTCACTGCAACCTCCGCCTCCCAGGTTCAAGCAATTCTTGTGCCTCAACCTCCCAAGTAGCTGGGACTATAGGCATGCACCACTACACCCAGGTAAGTTTTGTATTTTTAGCAGAGACAAGGTTTCGCCATGTTGGTCAGGCTGGTCCTCGAACTCCTGGCCTCAAGTGATCCACCCGCCTTGGTCTCCCAAAGTGCTGGGAGTGCAGGCGTGAGCCACCATGCCTGGCCTTGACTGGTGTCTTTATAAAAGGAGGAAATTTGGACTCATAAAAAGATACCAGGGCTGGATGTGCACAGAGGAAGAACATGTGAGGACACAGTGAGAAAGCAGCCCTCTGCAAGCCAAGGAGAGAGGCCTCAGGAGAAACCAAATCTGCCAACACCTTGATCTTGGCCTTCCAGCCTCCAGAATTGTGAGAAAATAAATTTCTGTTGTGTCAGCTGCTCAGCCTGTGTTATTTCATTGTGGAAGACTAATTAATATAGGTAGCATGATGCATTTAGGAAGACCTGACTGTTCCACCTTGCTGGGCTGCAAGGTGCAAGGCAGCACTGGCAGGTTCCTCAGCAGGACAGTGTTATAAGCACAGTTTTGATCTGGGGAAACACATAGTTTAGTGGAAATAAAAATAGCTCATGTTTCCTAAGTGTCTATTCTGCTAGACATTGTGCTAAGCTCTTTATATGTGTTAACTTGTTGAATTCTCACAACAAACCTGTAAGTACTGTTATCATCCTCTCAGTACAGTAGAGAAAATTGGGGCACAGAGAGGTTAAGTGACTTGCCCAAGATCACACAGCAGACAAGTGATGGAGCTGGGATGGAACCCAGGTCTGTCTGACCCCAATCCCTGAGAAAGAGGATACTCAGGATCTGGTGACTGCTTGGAAGTGGGTGGAAGTGGGTTGTGGAGGGGGACGTGGACAGTGACTGAGGTTTTCAGCCTGAGTACCTGGTGGTGCCACAGACTTTGGGTGAATAATAATGGCATTTTCCCCAAAATACTCCTTAAATAATGGCTAATATTTTTGTTTTCCCGAAAACATTTGGTGCTCATAGCTACTGTTATCATTGCAGCTCCGGGGAAGGTGGGGGCGCTGTGCTCTTCGGAAAGGCTGTGTTCCTCTGGGCTTGCCACTCCCACAGCTCCTCCCCCAGTGTTCCTCACCATGGCAATCCCTCCAAGCTTCGGTCCCAGGCCCACTTCCTCCTGGAAGCCCTCCCCCTGTTGCGGCTCAGGGTCGGTCTTCTGATACTTGTCTGAGTGTCTCTGGGTAGCCGCTTGGTCCCCTGGGGTAGTTTGTGCATAGGAGGGAGTCCATTCATGTTCATGGTCTCCCTCCCTCCCTCCTCCCTTCCTTCCTTGTCCCTCTTCCTCTAGAAATCCATGGCATCCTTGCCATCAGACCTCTGCGACGATCCCACCTGGATGACAAGAGACCCCAGTCCTCACTTCTAAGCATCCTCAGGCAAATATTAGCTTACCTAAAAGCCAGCAACGAATTGGAGTAGGTGAAGCAGTGGGTGTCAGAGGCAGGACTCCGAGACTTTGGTGGGGCCTGCAGCCCTGCTCCCTCCGGTGGAATGACCGGTGAGCTGTCTTGGCCTTAGCTTGGACCCCTTTGCTTCCTTCATATCTGGGGCCTGGCTCCTCTGAACCATGGGGGTTCTCATTTCCTCTATATGAGATTTACAGAGTAGGGACTAGGCTGATTGAATGTACAGACAACTCCTCAGGTCGGCCTGGCCTCTGCTAAGGGGTAGGGACCAATTAGGCACCTGCAGTGCTGGGCCCTGTACTGAGCACACGCAGGAGAAAAGGAAAGGAGCAGGCAGCCCTCTGTTCTGGGAGGGGACATCCTCTGGCTGAGGGCAGGGCAGGGAGGTGGGCCGGGAACTTGGGGCATAGCCTGCTCCCACCTCCTGTGTCTCCATATGGAGAGGGGCTAAGAGGTTGCTCCCCAGCCTGAGGCCTGGGTCAGACCCAGCAGGGCACGCTGTTGGGATGGATTAAGGAAATACTCTGCCAGGGACTTGCAAGCAGCCGCCTCCTGACCACCTGCCCTTCTCTGCCCCGTCTCTGTCACCCTCTCACACACTGTCACACTTATTAAATGAGATAATCTGAGTAAAGCACTTAGCATCCTGACTGGCGAGCAGTGAGCACTGGATAAATGTGAGGCCCCGCCCCCACCCAGTCTGTCTGCACACGCTGCATGCATGGGCCCTGGCAGCAGCACTGACACCCCCCTCCTACGCCCCAACTTGCAGAGACTCACAAACACCCACTCACGGGGGAACCCTTGTTTACATTGTACACACTGTCTCACCCCCACCGCATTTCTTTCTCTCCATTGAACTCTCTCAGCAGGCTCCTGGGCAGAGGACAAGTGGCCCCTGTGGAAAGGGCAGGACTGGGGAAGACACTTGTTCCCCATGAGCCAGCCTGGTCCAGAAACCTGAATCTGAACAAGCTGGAGAAGGGGCCTGGGGCTGGCAGAAAGGATGATGGAGGAGGCTGGAGATGAGCAGGCTGACCCAAGCCTCCCCACAGGGACCAGGAGAAAGCTGAAATACAGGCTGGCCGGGGCCAGGGAATGGGAAGGATATAGAGAGGCATGGAGAGCCTCTACAGGACCAAAGTAAGCTGGTAACATGGGTTGGCAATGGCCATCCCTAAACCACAAGGCCTCTTCCTCCTCAGGTCAGAAAGTAGGATCCTGAGGCTTAGCAGCCTAGGGCTGACCGGAGCCTGGGAGGGTTGGAGAGGAAGGGAGCAAGGACTTTGCCTGTACCAATCTCCATCTCCAAGGGTCATGTATATGAGCCCTTGGTCAGAGTCAGACATAGGCCTGGAAGAGACAGACAACATATGGAAATAAACAAGACTGGCAGCCTGGGTCATCAGAAGAGTGGGGGAAGGGAGGGGAGCCTGGGCTCCAACAGACACTCAATACCATCAGCACACACCCACCACAGATTCCCTGCCCACATACAGACACACACAGCCCACACTCAATACCATCAGCACATGCCCACCATGGACTCCCTCCCCACATACAGACACACACAGCTCACACTCAGTACCATCAGCACACGCCCACCATGGACTCCCTCCCCACATACAGACACACACAGCTCACACTCAGTACCATCAGCACACGCCCACCACGGATTCCCTCCCCACATACAGACACACACAGCTTACACTCAATACCATCAGCACATGCCCACCATGGACTCTCTCCCCACAGACACACACAGCTCACACTTAATACCAGCAGCACACTCCCACCACAGACTCCCTGCCCACATACAGACACACATAGTTCACACTCAGTACCATCAGCACACACCCACCATGGACTCCCGCCCACATACAGACACACACAGTTCACACTCAGTACCATCAGCACACACCCACCATGGGATCCCTCCCCACATACAGACACACACAGTTCATACTCAGTACCATCAGCACACACCCACCATAGACTCCCTCCCCACATACAGACACACACAGTTCACACTCAGTACCATCAGTACACGCCCACCGTGGCTCCTGCCCACACACAGACACACACAGCCCAGAGACATTACCCATGTTGAACAGACCACCTAACAGCACACAGACACACTGAGCTACACAGTATTGACACCTCTCACCTATCTCTCATATCTGTATATGTACAGTATGCACAACAGTGCCACATTTGCACCAGCAGCAAAGCACCCCAACATACACTGGACATACACTCAAGCCAAAGCCTAATAGAGCCAGCAGAGATTTTCCCCCTGCCCACATGGATAACCCAGAAATAGCACACACTTTCTTACAATGCAAATGTACACACACACACCGGTCCACATGCTCTCAGGGACATACGCACACATACACATGCACATATGTGCCCCAACATGCAGACACTGCTCCTTCTACTCAGATAGTCCCGGGTTTTCTTGTCTTTCTCCCCAGTGTCTTTCCTGATCTCTATTTCCATCCTGTATGTCTCTTCAAGATTTATTAGGCAAGACCCCGTCAGTCCATGGCTGGCCTCCTTGCCTCACCAAGGATGCAGGCACACACACATGCACGCATGCACACACACGCACACATTGCACATGGTCATGGGATGCCCTGGGGAGCAGCCTTAGTGCACAGGGAATTCTCCTGCCATGCTGGGCAGCAGGAAGAGAGGGTAGGGACTTCACAGGGTGACCACCCCACCCCAGGATGGGGCCTCCTGGTTCCTTGTTGGACCTCCCAGCTGCCCTTACTGCTCTTGCTACTTATTTGCAGTTCCAGACCAGCCTGTGCCTCTCCCGCCAACTTTGCCCTTGCACATGCAGTTCTCTGCCTAGAATGCCCTCCCTGCTCCAGCTGTCAGTGGCTGTCAGACTTTTGAATTTCATGGATCAGTTAAAAACTTCAAAAGAAAGTGTGGGGAATGATCGAAGGTTGCCAAGTTTTCATTTCATTAGTAAAGATATTTAAAATATAACTACCATCCTCTAACCACCATCGTTTCATAAAAAGGATGCTTTAATACCAACAAAGCAGGAAGGACATAATCTCAGGATAAAGAGTAATCCTTTACATTGAACACATTTAGCTTTACATAAAACCCATTGTGTTGTCCTTTTTCTCATTTCACCCCATGAACCACTGGAAACTTTGTCACAGATCAGTGTTTCAAACCACGGAATCCTCAGCTCACATTGGGCCTCCTACAGGAAGCCTACTCCACAGCCTCACCCCGTCACCCCCTAGCTCCCCCCAGTACCAGTCACTGTCTGCGAGACTCTGTTGCACTCTGCACATATAGCCACAGTCATTATTGTTTACTAAGGGCCCACCCGGTTAAGCGCTGCCAGGTGCTTAACACGGATTATCCCATTTTATCCTCATAACCCTGAAAGGTGAACATTTTACAGATGAGAAACCATAAGTGGCTTCCCCCAATCCTGCAACCCCTGCTGGAGGCATGATTGCTGGAGGGTGGTGGAAAGAATCTCAAAGACAGATCTGGCTGCTAATCCAGGCTCTCCATCCCTATTTGTATGATTTGGGCAAGTCATTTCACCAATCTGGGTCTCAGTTTTATCATCCATGAAATAGGAACAATAATCCCTACTTGGCAACATTGTCCTGAAGGAGTGCATGTAAATCTCCCAAGACAGCGTCTGGCACATAGAAGACACTGGAAAATGGGGGTTAGGCCCCCTCCCACATTCCCCGTTCTCCCCTCCCCAAGCCCAGTGACTTTCTCTACACCTCATTCTCCCAATTGTCCATCTCCCTACCTCTCTCAGGCTCCTGTGTTAAACTCTATTGCTCGTCCCCTCTTCTAAAAGTGGGAGTGGCCCAGGGAACAAGCCTTGGCTCTCTTCTCTCTTCTATCTAGTCTCCCTCACCAGCTGAGCTCATTCTGCCCCATGGCTTTAACTCACTTTTTCTTTCTTTCTTTCTTTCTTTCTTTCTTTCTTTCTTTCTTTCTTTCTTTCTTTCTTTCTTTCTTTCTCTTTCTTTTTTTCTTTTTTTGTGAGACAGGGTCTTATTCTGTCACCCAGGCTGTACAGTCGTGGCTCACTGCAGCCTCAACTTCCCAGCTTAAGCATTCACCCCACCTCAGCTTCTCAAGCAGCTTGAACTACAGGCTGCGCCACCACAGCTGACTAATTTCTATGTTTTGCAGAGATGGGGTCTCACTATGTTGCCCTGGCTGCTCTCAAACTCCTGGGCTCAAATGATCAGCCTCAGCCTCCCAAAGTGCTGGGATTACAGGCATGAGCCACTGCACCTGGCACCCTCTTGGCTCTGAATATCATCTACACATTGACTTTAAAATATAAATCCCCAGTCCTGATCTCTTCCCAGGATCCAAACCTATATATTCAACTGCCTCCTTAACACCTCTCCATATGGCCTCATGGGTCTCCCAGACTTAGTACATATGAAACAGAGACTTGATTCCTCTCGCCCCAAACCATTCCTCTACCAGTTGTTCCATCTCAGTAAGTCACACACCATCATGGCCTAGTTGCTCAAGTTGACCAGCCTGGCCAACATGGTGGCACCCCATCTCAACTAAAAACATAGTGGGCATGGTGGTGCACACCTGTAGTCCCAGCTACCTAGCTGAGGCAGGAGAATCGCTTGAACCCAGCAGGCGGAGGTTGTGGTGAGCTGAGATCATACCTCTGCACTCCAGTTTGGGTGACAGAGTGAGATTCCGTCTCAAAAATAAATAAATAAATAAAATGAAATAAAATAAAAAATAAAGAAGAAGAAGAAGTGCCCTTTCAAAGTAAAGTTGTAAGAAGCTTTGAAGCTTCTTCCCAGGCCTCTTGTAATACTCATACTTGGAGATCCAAGCTGCTATGTAGGAAATCCAACCACCCTGAGGCCGCCATGCTGTGAGGGAACCTAAGCTCACCGAGAGGCCACCTGGAGAGGAGAGAAAGATGCCTACTCAGCCTCCAATTGTTACATATCACAGACACCTTTGAGTCACCCCGGCTGAGGCCCCAGACACCGTGGGGCATAGATTAGCCATCTCCACTGTGGTCTGTCCAAATTCCTGACCCTAGAATCATGAGATATAATAACAACAAATTATTGTTTTAAGCCACTACTTATCAGCATAGTTAGCTATGGAGAACTAAATAATTCAGCAGGAGGATTACTCTGGGCTCGTAAAATTAGTTGGGGTATGTTCTCTCGTATATTTTCTGAGAGTTTGTGTATGATTGGTATCATTTATTCCTTAAATATTTGATAGAATTTACCAGTGAAACCATCTGGGTGGGAAATTTTTATATTATAAATTCAATTTCTTTAATAGATATCGTTTTCCAGATTTTCTATTTTCTTTTATGGAATAATCTTCATAAATGCCAATAAATTATATCACTCCCCTTATGAAAGCCCTCAGTGGCTTCCCTCTGCACAAAAAATAAAACCAAAGTCCCTTCCACAACCTATAAGGCTCTTTATGATCTACCTCCTACCTACTTTTCTGATCTCACCTGGAATCACATTTCTAATATTTACAGGGCTGATTCCTTAATATCATTTATTCATTCATCCATTCATTCAGTTTGTTAGTTATTAAGTTAGTTAGTTAGAGATGGGGTCTTGCTCTGTCACCCAGGCTGGAATGTAGTTGCACAATCATAGCTCACTGCAGCCTCAAACTCCTGGGCTCAAGCAATCCTCCTGCCTCAGCCTCCCAAAATGCTGGGACTTAATATCATTTACATTTCAGTCCAGGTGTCACCTCTTTAGGGAAGTCTTTTAGGCCAAGTCAAAATTACCCCCTCAATTGATCTGTTTCATATTATCTATTTAAAAAATTTTATTTCACTTATCATTATCTGACTTTATCTTTATTCTTAGTTAACTCATCTATTATCGCTATGTGTTCACCACACCTTTTAGAATTTCAGGTCCATGTAGGCAGGGACCTTGCTGGTCTTACTCATGGCTGTGTGCTAGGAGCCTAAAACATATGGCCATAGATGGCAGTAACTACATATTTGCTGAATCGTTGGCTTGTTGTGCTGGCCCCCAGCCCTGTGCTCTTCTGTGATCAGTCCCCAGACATGGTTAGCATCAGGTAAAGGAACGGGTAGAGTTTCCAGTGGCCACACCTCCACAGTTTTTTTTGTTTTTTTTTTTCTCCTACCAGTGTCTGACTTCAGCCTGGCTCTCTTTCCCATCACCAGCAGTCAGGAGGCATCTTCAAGGCCATTTAGGAGAAGAGATCCAAGTGTAGCACCTGGACACAAAGCTGTGGCTACTCATTCTAGTTCAGAAGCCTCTGAGTCCATGAGTGTCTTTGAATAAATCACTTCCCCTCTGTCTCTCACCTGACACATTGTAGATGCTCAATCATTCTCCAGTAAAGATCACTTTACTGTGAGATGGACCCACATTTATATAGTTCTAACTTACCCCAATACCCTTGTTATAGATGAGGAAACTGAGGCACAGAGAGGCTAAGTAGCTCCACCAATGCCACAGAGTAAAAAACTGGAAGTGCTGGAGCTCATAGATTTCCCCCTCAATTTATGATCCCACCAACAAGGGCATCAATTTCAGAAATTAACAGCTGCAAATGATGGCATCAAACCGGACGCCGCAGCAGCCGTCCGAAGTGCATCTCCAATTCAGGTTTATCTTCATTAAGCAAGTAATTCATTACCGGGCAGTAAGCATTCACATCAGAGCGAGAATATTAAAAAAGTAATTATATTTTTTCACAGTGCAGCTTTCTGGGTAAATTGTATGCAAATTGCTGTCTAAATCAGGCTGGCAGATCCCGGGCAGGTCTCGGCACCATTTGGGGGAAAATTTGGGAGGTTGGACTAGTCACTCTCTGCCCACTTTAGTGAGTGTCCAGCACAGAGTCTGGCATTGAGACAGAGAAGGTTTAAAAATAATAGCTTCTATTATTTCTTAACTCCATCAAGCCTTGGTTTCCCCATCTGTAAAATGGGGCTTCTCCTAGGACTCAATAAGGGAGTGGAGAGGACAGTCTCCAGCACAGGACCTGCCCGGCATGGATATGGGAGGCAGATGACTTGGGAAATGGCAAGACAACTTCAAGGAGGAACACAGGGTTGTATCAATGAAGCACTGATACCTATGCCCAGAGAGAGGGTCAGGATAGCTGCTGGGGTAGGGCAGGGGGTGCTGGGGTAGGGCAGCGGGCGCTGGTGAGGGACCAGGAGGCCTGACTTTCTTCTCATCCTGACTCAGCCACTAAGTCATGTGTGACCCTAAGTTCTCTGGGCTATGCTTAATGCCCAGCCGTCTTTAACAAGGATAATTACCCACCAGGTGCACAGAACCATCACTGCTCCCAGGTCACACTGACCTCTAACCTGTAGGAACTAGAAGGCCCATGCTGGAAAAGAGGGGCTTGAAGAGCAAAGGCATCAATCCTCTCAGTTTACTGATGGGAAAAAGAAGCCCAGAGAAAGGCATCAGAGACTCAGAGTCACACGCCAGGTAAGTGATGGAGTCAGAACCAGAAACCCAGGCCAGAGCAGCTCCAACATGCACTGTCAGTACCCGTCTTGCAATGGGCACTTACGGCCTGTGTTGGAAGCTGTTGCACATGTTGGAACATGTTGCACATGTGGCTTTATCTCAGGGTTGGGAAGTGATCCCGGGCTTGGGTCTGAGAGAGGTTATTTCCCAACTGAACCTTAGTTTCTCCACTTGTCAAATGAGGCAGTTGGGAGAGACATCGCTATGGACCCCTCCCATGAGACTTACTAGGTAGGATTTTTAATGACATCCTTTCCCTTCCCCCAGGGCAAAAACTCTGAGGAGAGCCAGGACTGCCCAGAGAAATAGGGGCAGAAGCGCTGGGCCTGGCTGAGGGCATCTTTGTGCCAGTTCCCAGCCTTCCTTGCCCACACACTGGCCACCAGCGGCGGTGATGGTTTAGGAAGATGCACAGTGCCCCCTTGTGATGGGGGCCACCTGCTACAGAGCTCCAACAGCCCAGGTCACAGGGCCAAGGCTACCCCAGAGGCCGTCTCCAACACACCCACACAAAGGTACAGCTCCAGCACACAGAGCTGTTGGGGGCTATGGCTATGTCTGGAGCTACAGTCACTAAAAGTCCAGCCAGGCGTGGTAGCTCACACCTGTAACCCCAGCACTTTGGGAAGTGGGCGGATCACCTGAGGTCGGGAGTTCAAGACCAGCCTGACCAACATGGAGAAACCCCATCTCTACTAAAAATACAAAATTAGCTGGGCGTGGTGGCACATGCCTGTAATCCCAGCTACTTAGGAGGCTGAGGCAGGAGAATCGCTTGAACCCGGGAGGCGGAGGTTGCAGTGAGCCAAGATCACACCATTGCACTCCAGCCTGGACAACAAGAGAGAAACTCCATCTCAAAAAAAAAAAAAAAAAGTCCAGCTCCATTCAGACTCACACTTGGGTTGGTACACACAGCTACACCCATGGGACACGAAGACAGGAACAGGTGTCCATACCAGCCTGGCCAGATATGGCTATACCTGACCACACGTTGACACACAGACACCCACAACACCCAGCCACAGTTAAGCCTTGGGTAGTCACCCAGCAGCGGCGCACCACACACACTGCATTACCCCATCACACCCAGACCCAGGCCCCTCTGGAAGAACAGGTGCCTCCTCTCTGACCCAGCTCTTGCTCACAAACCTTCACCTGTGCAGACCGTCAGTTCCTCATTCATGGGGCTACTAAAAAAGTCTTCCTGCCACCCGGGGACAGTCAGTTCCCAGGCTACACACAGAAGCACCTGCTTCTGTGCATGTCCAGACACATGTTGCGGCTGCTTCTATATCAGGGAGGCCCTTCTGTTCTCCTGTCTTGCTCAAGCATCACTTTCGAGCATCCAGTCCTGCAGGGGATTTTAGAGACCAATCAAGGCACAGCTCCTGCCTTCTCCCCACCTTGACATCTCTGAGACACAGCCCCAGCAGCAAGCAACCTCGGGCCTCACCAGTCAGGCCTCCTCCCACACCCTTCTCTGAGGCTGGGTTGGGGTGGGTTTAGGAATGAGCATGGGCTTGTGGAGCTTTCTTCAGGCTGTGAAACCTTCCCAGGCATTGGGAGTTTCCTTTCTGACTGGTCTTTCTTTAACTTATCTTTCTAGAAGAAATGCAAGGCTCCCCTGGAAGCCTTTCCTGACCATGCCTGGTAGCACCGGCCCCTGGGTACAGCCATGGTCAAGTTTGACCCAGGAGTCAGGAGAACCAGGTCGAAATCCTGGCTCCTATTCTAATTTCCTGGGTGACCCTGGGCCCATCTAGTCTTTTTTCTGGGCCTCAATTTCTTCTTCTGCACCATGGGGATGGGGCGGGAGGAGAGCACTAAACTGAGCTTGAAAGGACCCTCCGGTCTTATATTTCTCAAACTGTACTTTCCCCAAAGACCAGGACTGGTGACTGAGGCGCCAGAGCCAGACCCCACTCCCTGGTCACCTGCTCTGATGCTTTCCCCCCACCCTGGGCTGCTGACCACAGACACCCCTGGCAAAGGCAGAGCAGAGCAGTGGAAGGGGCAGCGTCATCGGAATCAGGGACAGCTGCGGGCATGCTGTGCTGCTTGAGGACAGGGTCTGGACCTGCAACTTCTTCGGCAGGGCCTGGTGTGCAGGTGTCACTTAACAAACATTTGCTAAATTGAAACCAATTCACTCCTTCCTAGCTGTGTAGTCTTAAGCAGGCAATTTCGTGTCTCTGAGCTTCACTGTCCTCCAGTGTAAGAGAGAGATACCAGCTCACCCCCTGTTATCTGTAGTCATGAGGATTCCTCAAGACGC
Source organism: Homo sapiens (assembly GCF_000001405.40). Taxonomy (NCBI): domain Eukaryota; kingdom Metazoa; phylum Chordata; class Mammalia; order Primates; family Hominidae; genus Homo; species Homo sapiens. Next base: position 70,881 of record NW_009646194.1, on the reverse strand, counting down.
TGCATCCCTCCAGAAGGCACTGCTCTCGACCCAGCGGGAGCCCCGCCAACAAGTCTCTCTTCCTCCTTCCCCTTCAAGCCTGCGTTCTCACTTGGCTGGCAGAGAAGTGGGACTCCCTAGAGCCCACCGGCCTTGGGGAAGAAGAGCTTGCCACAGGAACGGATGGGAAGGCGGACAGAGGAGGGGCGCGTGTGCCAGCATCCTGGAAATGAGCTTGGCCGGGTGGCGGCAGCCTGCTTCTCACTCTTGCCACACCGAAGGCCCCATAAGGCTCTGAGCAGGCAGCTGGGGTGGGAGGAAAAGAGGGAGGCAAACCCCTTCACCCACAGATACATGCAATCCTAGCCCCAGAGGTAGGGAGTCACCAAGTGCCCACCAAGGGAAAAGATCTGCTCTGTAGCAACCCCTCAGTCCTTCCCAGAGACATTTGCTCAGTGCCTTTTAAAGCTGTGCATTCCCTGGCCAGGGAGCCCTCTCTCTGCTGAGCTAAGCCTGCTCCCAGGCTGCCTGAGTACATCTGCTCCTTCTGCTCACGACAGCCCAGGACATGCAGACCAGCCAGGTGTCCTGCCCTGGCCTCCACCTCCTAGTCCTCTGCAGGCCAGACAGCAGTGCAGCTGTTACTTCTACCACATGGGTCTGAATCCCTCTCACCCGCTCCGACATGTCCCTGTGTATCTAGGCACATGCACACAGGTACACACACACATGCACTCCTACGGGGCCCCCAGGATCCAGTCCATCCCGGAAGGGCGCAGCCACCCTCCCCTGCACAGGGGCTGCTCCCCCTCCTCTCCTGAGTCTCCACTACTGCAGGACTGCCTTGGAAGACAGAGAGCAGGGGAAGGTAGGGGGCCCTGGAAGGACACGTCTCCCACTGAGAGCCCTTCCTCTTCCCCACCCCCTGCCTTCTGCCACTTTCCTATGTCAGGGCCATGCTGATGACACCAGAGAATCCATCAAATGCCACCCCCATGTCAGGTCATGTCACAACATAATTAAAGCATTAGATCTTTGTGATGAAGCCGTTGCCATCAATTCTGAGAGTGACTGATCCAATCTACAGAAAGGGAAAATTTCTCTCCGCCTGCCACAACTGCCACAGCTGGCTTCCCCTCCCTGAGAAGGGAGACGGTGGTGCTTGTTCTATTTAGGGCTCCAGACCTCAGTCTGGGAGGCAGGAACTGAGCCATGTGGGGGGAGGGCCGGCCTTGGGGTGTGTGCCCGTCCTGCCTCTGGGCCACTGGGGAACAGCAGTGCCTGGAGGCCTGGGACTCCTTCAGGCCCAGTCACTGAGCCACTCTGTGACTTTGGGAAAGGCCCTCCCCACCTCTGGATTTCAGTGACCTCTTCTGTAAATGAAAAATGAGGAGGGGGAGGTATGAAGGGTGGGAGGAATATGACTTGGTCTTTAATGACCATGGAGGTCAAAGCTTCAGGAGCATGGGGCCAGGTGGCTCAGGTTCTGATCCCAACTAACTGTGCAGCTGTGGTCAAGTGAGTTCTCTTTTCTCCTTCCCCTCACCCACAGGAGGGGAAATTATTCCTGCCTCACAGGGATCTGGGGGAAATTAAAGGAGACAGGGAATGTGAAAGCCTAACAGAAAAGAAATACCCCACCCTCTTGGCATCCCCAGCCCCATGACCTTCAGCTCCTGGCAGGCTCTTGAGCCCCAGATATTGGCCAAGGGCCTAGAGATTTAGGCCTGGCTGTTTTTTTTTTTTTTTTTTTTTTTTCCTCAGGACTACTAAGTGTGGACACAAAAATACTGGATCTGCAGTGACAGAGGACAGATAGAAGAGATAGCATGGGTAGGAACAGAAGAGTTGTCTGTGTCACTTCTGAGCTGATGTCACCATCAGGAGGTCTAGTGTTGTAGGAACAGGAGCCAGGCCTATGGGAATGAGAGGTCAGGGCTGACCCAGGAGAAAGGGAAAAGCACTGGGCCAAGACCGTCAGTCTGTGGCTGGCACGGCAGGTGAGAACAGGGCAAGTGGCAGAGCCTCCAATCTGAGGCTGTTGAGGGGAGATGAAGACAAAGGCAGAAGCAGGGAGACAAGAGTGGGGCCACAGCAGTGACCCAGACAAGAGATCATAGTGGCTTGGACTGAGTTTCCTGAGGAGTTGAGAGGTAACTCCTAGGTCTTTGGTGAGAGTCACTGAAGAGTTACCATTTATGGAGCTGCCACTTGTCAAGTTTGAGTCGACTATGGGAGAAAAAGGTTAGGGGTGGAAATCCAGGGTTTGGTTAAAGTCTGAGATACCTTATAGCCATCCAGGTGGAAATGAGCAAACCAATGGATGCGCAGTCTGGAGCTCAGGGCAGAGGTGTGTGCTGAGGAAATGCACCTGAGACTTGAGAGTCACTGGCAGAGAGAGAGTCCTTCAACCATGAGCTTGGAGGAGATCCCCTGGGAAGTGAGGGTAGGCCAAGAGAAGAGGGATAAGGACTGAACCTGTGGCACCGACTGCAACATTAAGAAGGAGGGAGCTGAGGAGGAACCAACAGTAGAGGCTGAGAGGGTTTGGTCAGGAAGGGAAGAGAAAAACCAGGCCAGTGCGGTGCCCTAGTTGAAAGGGTTCAGGGAGGAGGTGATCATCTGCCTTAAGGATAATGACAGCTCAGGTAAGATGAAGATTTAGAACTGGCTGATAATGACGAGGAGTAAATATTTGTTGAATGAACAAACAGAATAAACTGAAAATCCATCAACAGAACTGGGGCGTTAGATGGAATCTGGAATGGGACCTGGCCACATGGGTAGAGAATAAGGTGATCCCAGTTCAGCAACAGCCAAGGGGCCTTGGGGTCCAGCATCCAGGGCCAGGTTGGGTCCCCTAACCCCCTCCAGCCTCAGGCCAGGAAGGATCAGTCCTGGGAACTAGGGAGGAGACCCACTGCTGGTGAGTCAGATAATGATGGCTGTAGAGGGAGGTGGGCCTCAGAGACCAGTGGAGCCTGAAGGTTGAGTCTAGACCACAGCTACAGAGTCAAGAGGCAGAATTCAACTGTCACAAAGCCTGCTGAGATGTGTTCTGTGCCAGGTACTGTGAGAAGCATAGAAGGGAGACTCCAAAGGCATAAAACAAGGTCTTTCCCAGAGAGACTCCTGTCTAATGGGGGAAAGACACAGAGGATGGGGAAGTGGAACACACGATAATGGTATCTGCCATCCTTGTAAGATTCCTTTAAGTGCCCTGACAAGCTCTTGGATCCCAGATCCTACCAGGCCCCATGGAAAGAAAATCAGCTTATGTCCAAAGGGCTCTTCCTGGCCATCTAGGTTTTAAGTCTCTGGTTTCTGACCTCACTTCTTAATTCTCTTGTTTCTGGCCATCTGATCTTCTGGACATGACCCTTGGAATCCACTTAAGCGCTGACACTTTAAGGCAGTCATTCAGTCCTTCACACAGGCCCCTAAAGGTCCAACCAAGCTCCTGGCCAGCATGCTGGACACCCACAGCTTGTTCTGAACCTACCCCCATTGCAGTCCTATCCTGGTCCTGCTTCCATTGTAAGAGTGTATGGCAGACACACCCGACAGCAGTAGCATCACTTAAACATACCCGGAGAATTACCCCGTGTGGGAGACATACCCGAATGTGTGTTTGGAGTTCTGAGCTAAGGAATCCGGGAGTGGCCAACCCAGTGATTCATTTTTATCTATGAGGAACATCTAAACTCCCAGCCTGTCCCATGGAATGCGGGCCCTACAGGGTACCCAGGCCCTTTGTTTTGGGTTAAATGAAGGTGGCCAGGTGGAGGTTGTTAAGGGGAGGGTGCTAAGGGAAGGTGCTATATAAACTGCATGCTTTTCACAGGTGGTGTGGTTCTCCATCTAACCCACCCTGCTGGTCTGCTCTGTGTGTAAGTTCCCACTAATTAAACCCCATGTCTTGTTGGCTGGCTCTGAGTCTCTTCCTTGGCCTCTTGAACCTGGCGCCATCCCTACTGGATTTAATAAGGGTCTGGCATGACAACGAGATGTCTCAGGATCCTGGCTTTCTGGGCCACAGAACAAGCTCCTCCACTTCAGGCAACCTCAGCCAATGGACCCCACTCTAGGCAGCTCCTTCAGGCTCAATCTCCAGCCCCCAAATCGGCACCATAGTTGAATCTGAGCTCCTATGCCTTTGGGTCTGCTCTGCCAGGAGCGGGTTCTCCTTCCTGACCACTTGGCCTCTCAACTCAGCTCTGGGCCCCTCCCACTCCCATCCCCTTGAGGAGCACTCCCACCCCGCCTGACCCAGCCCCAAGGCTGGAAGAGAGATGGGCTGTGTTCTAGCAGTGCAGGGTGGGGTGGGGGTGGGCAATGGCTGTGAGAGCACAGAAGGCAGAAGAGTTGATTCTAGCCTGCATCTCCCTCTTAGCCTAGAGCAAGGGCCATGGAGGTTTGGGGAAAAAAAATGGAATCATCACCTTAAAGATGATCTTGGAAGAAAAATCACATAAGGGAGAGAAGCAGAAGGCCGGGACTCCTGGCTTCTGTCTAGAGAATTGGGCTGGAGGAAGGGAGTCACTGATGGGACAGGGGTTGAGGAAGAGGATACACAGACCTCAGGACACAAAATCTGGACTGGGACAGATCTCCAGGGCATCCAGGTCACTCCTGTACAATGCAGGAGTCCCTTCTCGTCCTCTTTACCAAGTGACTATCCAGCATCCCTGTGCACACCTCCACTGATGGGGCACTCACTCTCTTGAAGTTGGCCATCTTATTCTTGGACAGCTCTGCGTTCTCCTAGGTCTAAATCTGCAGTTCCAATCAAGGTCAGAGCTCTGTGCTCTTAGGCTCCACAGAGACGATTCCATTTCTCCCTTCACACTACAGCCTTGCAGAGATGGGAGAATGGTGACCTTGATGCCTGACCTCTGAGGATTTTCTTTTTTATGAGGCTGCTGAACCAGCTCGGGGCCATCCATCGGGCTCATAGTCAAGTCTCGCATCTTGGGTCACCACCTGGAGGGTGTGCAGAGTGGTGTCTGTGCCTGTGTGCCTATATGTATTTGTGCCTTGCACTCCATGCACACTTGTGGCTGGGGAGTTGCAGGTGTGCAGACTAGCTCTGTATCTTGGTGCAGGAAAAGCATGACTTCATATGAGCCTGGGCTGTGGCCATGTGTGAGTGAGCACATGGCCATGTGTGATTATTTATGAAGGTGACTGTGTGTGGGTAAGAGAGCACATGACAGTCTGTGAGTGAAGGGCTGTGTGTATATGACAAACAGTCATCACAAGTGTGAGTGTGCAAGTGTGATTTTGCACATGAAGGACTTGCCATACGTGGATATGACCAGCCAGGTATGTGTGCGTTTTTGACACTGATTAGATTGTCTCTGAGTGTCTGGTTGTGACTGTGTGTGAAGAGTATATGTGTGACAGATTGCAATTTAATGCATATGTGAGACTGTGTTTGTGACAGATTGTAATTTAATGCGCGTGTGAGACTGGCTGAGGCCATGAGTGTGTGAGAGACTGGTTGCATGCGTGACTGTGCACCGGTGTGTGAGGATGTGACTGTGTGTACGTGCTTGGATATATCGGTGTAGCTGTGTGTCGGCTAATGGCTGTGTGTGCTTCTGAGGCTCCGTGTGTGTGATGATGCAATGCATGATTGAGACTCCAGTGTGTGTGTGTGTGTGTGTGTGTGTGTGTTTATGAATGGCAGTAGTTAAGTGCAAATAAAGGTGCCTGTGCTTGGAGGTGGAGGTGGGAAGGGTGAGGACAGTGCAGGATAAAAAGGGGACTCGCTCGAAAAGGTCTCCCCAACCCCATTTTAATCAGAAACAGAGCAGCTGTTAGTCTGAATAGACACTGCACAACGGCAGACGTCTTAATCTCTTCTGCATTGTGATTCACTCGGCAAAGCCCTATTACTCAGCTTTTGATAGGAGCTTACTTGTCTCAAGTGTTTTCATTATTGCCCTAATACTATCTATTAACATACTGGAGGGAGCTCGCTGCTGTCTGGAGCTGGCATCACTGGGCTTTTAAAGATTATGGGCCTTGCAAATACATAACATTTTACTGCCTTGCAGACGTAATTCATTTGGGGTGGGGGGTAGCTCACGTAAATAGATAGGTAAATAGATAACCGAGTGGGAGAGAGAGGGCGCTGGAGGGAGAAAGAGAATCTAGGATTCAAACGCGGCTGGCGTCTCTAGCTCAAATAATCGCCTTTTGGGAGGAGGGGCCAGACAGACATCTGTCTCATTGGGGGCAATTCTAGCCTCAAGTCCTTCAACCCTGAGTATCCTGGGGTGGAGACACAGCCTGATCCCACTCAAGAAGTAAGACCCTGGGCTTCTCTAAGGGGTGCTCAGAAGTGCAAACTGGAGCAAGATGCAGGGAAGATCATGGGATCAGGAGTCCGGGGGCCCATGTTCCAACCCCAGTTCTGCAGCTGAGTTGCTGGATGACCTTTGTTCCCATAGCTTAACTGCAACACAAGAGTCTGAATTCGATGATCTAAAAAGCCAGCTCCAGAGTTCTCAGTTCTGGTCCCAGCAGGTGCTTGAATCACAATGATCAGGTTTAGCTCCATCAACCTGGAATCCTGAGGAAGAAATGGCTGAAGCTATGGCGTCTCCAACATCTCAGAACTGGCAAAAAGCAAGAGTCATCTAGTCTAACCACCACCTCCCTTTAGCATTCCTGTCGTGTGAGAGCAGACCTATAGTGACAGGAATCTCACTGCTTTCTTTTCCTTTTTACAAGACATATTTCCTTGAAATAACAGAGACATAAAATGAATACATTCATATAAGCCCTCCATCCCAAACTAGAAATTGCAGCATCTGTCAATCAGAAAATTTTAAGGACTTTCTAGAAGATAAAAAGCAGAGAGAATCAAATCTACAGAGGAAACCAGAATGGTTAAATCAGCACAGAAGAAATTGGCTAAGGAGATGTAAACTGTTCTTTTCAACAGAACCTTGGAGAAACTCCAAGTACAGGGGAGAAGGAGCAGGCCACAGCACGACCATCAGGTAAGGACTATTGAATAAGCCAATGGGCCAGCTAGCCTCTTCCTCTCCCAACATACATGCAATGCCTGGCTGTGGCTTTTGTCTCTGATCTTGAAGCCTGGTGAACTGCGTTCTGAGCAAAATGGAAGATCACCTTAGGAAGTGTAGTAAATGGTTACACTGGTGGCAATGAACCAAATCTCTTAGTATTCACAGCCTTGTGGAGTCCCCTACACATTGACCTTGTAATGGGCAATTTCACTTGCTTTGGTCAACGGGCCCTTAGCAAGCATAATGCAAGCAGAGGCTGGATAAGCACGTGCACACTGGGGCTTGTCCTCTTGGGACCTGGCCATCGTCTGTAAGGAAGCCCACCCTAGCCTCCTGGAGGCTAAAAAGCCATGTGGAAAAAGAGGCCACCTAGTGGAGAAACTAGGTTCTTCAGCAGACGGCCAGCACCAAGGCCCCAAACACGTGTGTGAAGCCTTGGGCCTTTCCACACAATCCAGCCGCCAGCTGAATGCAGCACCATGAGTAAGGCAAGCCAATGCCACATGGAACAGAAGAACAAGTCCAGGAAACTCATCAAATCAAAAGAAGTATAAATTATTGTTGTTTTAAGGCACTAAGTTATGGGGAATTCTGTTACGTGGCACTAGACAGCTGATATAGGAGGGATGACTATCTGGGTGTTGAGGCCAGAGAAGCAGAACTGAGCTAAATTCCTGCAATGGATGCTAGAAAAGGGGGAAAAAGCAAAGCCAATGACACAGTGCTGCTCAGGACCTCACACACAGAGTAAAGTCTGCCTGACTTTGGCAATCGAGAGGCCTGCTTGTGTGCTGTTCCCTCATTCTTCCTCCCACTCTCCCTGGCACAGAGCTGCAGGCAGCCTCCCTTCAAGGAAAAGACCCATCCTGGAAGCAAGTCTACACAACTAGGAAAGAAACTGACGCCAGTCTCTTAAATACATTTGTCCACCTAGTTTTTAATTTATAAATCTGAATGACCACTATGGATCACCAGATATTGGAAGCAAATCAAGAATATGAGAAAGACCAAGATGAAAAACCAGAATGATTCATCCTGGAGGAAATGGAGATAATGTGGGAGACAGAAGGGAACTTTAAAGGAGTTCTAGGTCATATCCTCCCAGAGACCCAAAAGAAATTTGCTTTAATAAAATAAGAGTAGATTGTTATGGAAGAGAAGCTAACAAATTTTAATCCTTGAAAATTAAAAACACGAAGACAAAGTCAAGGAAATCTCCTAGAAGGTAGAGTGAAATTACAAAGAAATACAAAATATGAGAAATTAAAGACCTACTATTTGCCTTATGGGGTTCTAGGCTGAGATAACAGAGAGACTAGAGGTGATAAAATAATTTAAAATATAATTTTTAAAGTATATTGCAGAGCTAGAGAAAGATCTGAGTCCTCAAACTATAAAAAGACCCACCAAATGCTAAGCAGAAAACACTGAAAAGACACACATCCTGGTGACATTTCTAAATTACAAAATAAAAACAAAATTCTCAATGCTTCTGCTTATTTTGAACCTACAACTCTATATCAGCCAAACTATCAAGCATGAAAGCGAATCCAAGATATTTTCAGATAATAAAGGACAAAGAAAATTTACTATCCATGCACTGCTTCTGAAAAAATAATTAGGTACTGCAGGAAAACAAAAAAGAAATCCGAGAAACAGAATTTCATAGGGTTACAAAAATTTGAAAGAAACCAGTAAATATCTAAAATCTGAATAATACATGAAAATGGATCTATAAAACCTCATACAGTGTTTAAGAAATGATTTCTTTTAAAAGTATAGGGATAAAATAAAATAACATTTGTAACTAAAGTTTCAACAAAGTATGAGCAGTAGGAGGAGATTTAAGACACTATTGGAAGAAAAACAATTAAATAACTCTATTTAAAATGTAAGACGCTAGAAAAATAAAATACTATAATGCATACTATTAGTGTAATAGTGTAATAGGTGTGTCATACAAATATATAATTTGCCAACAAATAGAGAAAAACAGAAATAAAGAAAATTTGATCAATCAAACAAAAAGCAGAGGAATCATTCAAACATATCAGAGATTGTAATAAAAGTTAATGGATTCAACTCTCCTATTAAACTACAGAGACTCTCAGAATCAGGGAAGAACCCTCACCAACATCCATAAGTAGATGTGTATATGCTCAGGTCAACACACAATGCAGATATTTTTTAAAGTCACATTTAAAACAATACGATACAAAATGATTAAAAGAATGAAAAATGAGGCCGAGCGTGGTGGCTCACACACTTTGGGAGGCCAAGGCAGGCGGATCACGAGGTCAAGAGTTTGGGACCAGCCTGACCAACATGGTGAAACCCTGTCTCTACTAAAAATACAAAAATTAGCCAGGTGTTGTGGTGCACACCTGTAATCCCAGCTACTCAGGAGGCTGAGGCAGGAGAATCGCTTGAACCCAGTAGGTGGAGGTTGCAGTGAGGCAAGACTGCGCCATTGCACTCCAGCTTGGGTGACATAGTGAGACTCCGTCTCCAAAAAAAAAAAAAAAAAAGAATGAGAAATTAATATATGCTAACAAAATATAATGAAGCCATAGAAATATTAATATCAGATTAAATAGAATCAAAATGAAAACCCTACATGGAACAAAGGAGACTTTATAAAACGTACAATCTACCAAGAAGTTATGACAATGAAGTGAGTTTCATAGTAAACAATGGAGTATTAAAATATAGAGACAAGCAGCTTTAGAACAACAAAGAGAAAGTGAAACTTGCAGTGATACTTGATTTTTACAATATGCCTCCCCAGAAATTGATAGATCAAGTAAACAATAAGTGAAGTGATAGGATAATTTGAATACAGTAATTTAAAATTTTGGTGTGAGATTTATATAACAATGTACCAAAGATACACCTTTACACATTCATTTTTAATATCTATGGCACATTTACAAAAATGGACAATTCACTAAAACTGACTACAAGTAAAATCTTAATTCCAAAAAGTGAAAAACATATGGACTGCATTTTTTGACTACAATGTAAAAAGCTAGAATCAATGACAAAAGAGTAGCAAACCAATATGATAACAATTTGGAAATTTATAAACACCATTCTATATAACTCTTGGGTTAAAGAGAAACTCAGAATTAAAACAACAGATTATGTTATAAATGAATGCTACTGACAGCACCCTGTGATGAAACCAATTGTCAAGGCCAATGCAGTATTTGTAGAAAATGTGTAGCCTTGAACATATGTATTAGAAAACAGGAAAGAGGAATTGAATCCAAGTAGCTGGGAAAAAGAAAACTAGAAGGAAAAAAACTATAGAAAGAAGGAATTAGTTGAGATAAAAGCAAAATTAATGAAACAAGAAACAAATGTAGACTTGGTAAATAAAACCAAATGCTGGCTCTTTCATTTAGTCATTCCCCTTATGGCTCACGAAGAGGTAAAAGTACTAATAACCATTTTAAAAAAATCAAATCAGCAAAGATCTACTTCTAAAAATGATATCAGTCCCAGAATGGACTTAAGGGCGAGTTGTATCAAACCTTCTGGGAACAAATACATTCTGTTATTTAAATTGTTACTGAGCTCAAAACAAAGGCAGAAAACTTCCCAATCCCTTCTGCTGGGCTAGCACAACTGTAGTAGGCATCTGTTGTTTTTGCTCCTCAGTGTTAATTCATCCTTCGAGTAACCACACCCTGATTTTCCTTGGAGGGAACCCACTGTACCCCACTCTGTGTCTATGTATTTCCAGGGAAGTTGACACCACTCCTAGTTCCAGAACTGGGCCCACAACCCTCAACAAGCTTTGTTTTTCCCCACCACTGTGAATGATTCAGAGATGGGCATGTAATCCAACCAAGGGTAATGAAACCCAAGAGGTTTTTCAGTGACTTCTGGAAAAAAAGTTGCTCTTGAAACTAAGGCAGTAGATCCTGGAATAGCCATTTGCCTGCCTTGTGTAGTCTGAGACTAAAGTGGACATAAAGGGAAAGCAGAACCAAGAGATGGAGAGAAAAATGAGCATTGATTACAGCATTTGAGCCCTGACTGCAACCACGCCTGAAGTACACTTTCCCCCCATACCCTTCAGCTCCATGAACCAATGTTTAAATCAGCCAGGATTGTCATTTTCAGCTGAAGCCACTAACCCTGACATACCAATGTGGAACAAAGATAACACACACGAGAAAGTATAGCCCAATCACAATTACATAAATATATGACCCATAAATAAAATGGTAGCAAAGTTAATTTAGCTATACATTATAAAACAAATAAATCATGAGCAAATAGGTGTATATCCCAAGAATTTAGCATAGATCTTAACATTACAAACAAAATTTTATTTTTAAAATTTACTATAGTGATACATTAAAGAGAGAATACTAAATTATCTTCTCTATAGATGGCTTAAAAAATTGTAATAAGCTTCCTTAGCCAGATAAAGGATCCAGAGATGGTCAGCTTTATGAGTCTATTTGGTTAAACTATAGTCCCAGTTATTCAATCAAACACTAACCTAGGTGTGGTGAGAATATTTTATAGCTGTAAGTAAAGTTCATAATCAGGTGACTTTAATTAAGCGAGATTATCTTAGACAATCTGGGTGAGCCTGAATCAATCAGGTGAAAGCCTTTATGAGCAGTATTGAGACTTTCCAGAAGAAATTCAACTTCTGGACTACAGCTACAGCTCAGGACCTTCCTGACCACCTGCCCTATAAGTTTTGGACATGCCTATCCAGCCTCCTCAATCATATAAACCAATTCTTGAAATAAATCTCTTAATATGTATGTCCTAGTGGTTGTTTGTCTGGTAGGACCCCAACTGATAAAGGTCTATAACTGCAGCAAAACATACATATCTGTGAGCCCCAGAAAGCAAGCATTCTTTCTCAGGCAGGGACAAGATAAGATGTCCACTATGCCCAGCATTTTGAAGGGATGGTATGTTAGTCCATTCTCACACTACTATAAAGACATACCTGAGACTGGGTAATTTATAAAGAAAAGATGCTTATTGGCTCATGGTTCTGCAGGCTGTACAGGCATCAGCTACTTGAAAGTCCTCAGGAAACTTCCAATCATGGCGGAAGGGGAAGGGGAAGGAGGCATGCTCTTCACATGGCTGTCAGGAGAGACAGCGAGCAAGGAGGGAAGTACTACACACTTTCAAACAACCAGATCTCGTGAGAACTTACAATTATGAGAAGAGCCAGGGGGAGATCTGCCTCCATGATCCAGTCACCTCCTACCAGGTCCCTCCCCCAACACTGAGGATTACAATTCAACATGATACTTGGGTGGTGATATCGTTTGGCTGTGTCCCCACTCAAATCTCATCTTGAACTGCAGTTCCCATAATCCCCACATGTCGTGGGAGGGACCTCGTAAGAGGTAATTGAATCATGGGGATGGTTACACCTATACTGTTCTCATGATAGTGAGTGAGTTCTCACAAAATTTGATGGTTTTATAAGGGGCTTTCCCCTTGCTTAGCACTTCCTCTTGCCGCCATGTGAAGAAGGATGTGTTTTCTTCCCCTTCTGCTGTGATTGTAAGTTTCCTGAGGCCTCCCCAGCCATGTGGAACTGTGAGTCAATTAAACCTCTTTTCTTTATAAATTACCCAGTCTTGGGTATGTCTTTATTAGTAGCATGAGAATGGACTAATGCCTGGCTAATACAGGTGGGGATACAGAGCCAAACCATATCAGATGGTCAGGGAGTGTTCTACTTGGAAGATACAGTACCCTGAATAATGTGCCTCCAAACCCCAAGATGTCCATATCCTAATCCCCAGAGCTTATGAACATGTTGCCCAACATGGCAAAAGAAACTCTGCTGGTATAAGGAAGTTAAGGATCTCAAGGGGAAAGATGACCCTGGATTATCCAACTAGACTCCATGCAATCACAAGCATCCTTACAAGGGAAAGGAAGGAGGCAGGAGAGTCAGGATCAGAGCGATGTGGCCATGAGCCAAGGAATGTGGGTGACCTCTGGAAACTGGAAAAGGCACAAAAATGGATTCTACCCTAGAGCCCCCAGAAGGAATGCAGCCTTGTCAACCCAATTTGGACTTCGGATCTCTGAAATGATAAGATCATAAATCTGTGTTGTTTTAAGCCACTAAATTTGTGGTAATTTGCTATAGCCGCAGTTGGAGATGAATACAGAAGGTAATATTTGAATGAAGACCTGAGGGAAGAGCAGGCGCAATATAAGCAAGTATCTGGGAGAATCGGGTTTCAGATGGAGAGAAAAGCAAGAGCAAAGGCCCCGTGGTAAGAATGCTAGAGGAACAGCAAAAGGGCAAGGTGCTCTGAGTAGCAGAGTCAGGAGGAGGGACCAGGAGATGGGTCAGCAAGGAGTGATGGGGATGAGGCCAGCCCACGGTGAGCCTGAGAAGTGATTGTGAGGGCTTTGGCTTTTACACTGGACAAGACACCAAGCCTTTTGAGAGCCTAGAGCAGAGTGGTGCACAATTTGACTTACATTTTAAAAGCACCACTGTCTGCTGTGGGTGACCGGGGTGAATTCACCATAAAGCTAATGAAGCCCAAATCCCAGAACTCTATGCTTGCACGGATCCCTTCCAAGACCCCAGTCATGCAATCAGGTGGTCATATGTTTTGTAAAATTTACGAAAGTAAGATATCTTAGCCACAATTAGTTAAGACCACTTGATCTCTTTCTTGACTTTTCTACCATATCTTCTCTTGGTGCTGGAGTGGGTACAGATATTTTTGGGATCCAGTTAGAAAAAATTGAGCTGGGGATACCTTTAGTTGGAGTTTACTGAGATATATTTGTGTGTTTCACAGCTCTTTCCATGTTATTGGAAGTTATTACCAGCTATCCTGGAGCAAGATTGGCTTCCAGGAACCCTCCCACCGCCCACTCTGTCGACAGGATATTGATGTGAGAGCTTTAATAGAGTGTTGTCAGCTCACAGAAGTTTTTAAATTAGTAGTCACTGCACAAGAAAACTTGAAAAGCCCAGAAATCTTACCGCTCATATATAAAAGAATCTTGATAGAGCTCTCTCAGGTTTGACAATTCTAAAAATTTATCCAACTTTGCCATTAACAAATTGTGAAAGTAGAGGAAACTTTTCTAAGCTATTAATAATAATAATTTTAAAAATGAACTTTAATCAACTACAGTAGAGGAAACTTTTGTATTCTTTCTATTAAAAAATGTATTACAGGCCAGGCATGGTGGCTCACACCTATAATCCCAGCACTTTGGGAGGCCGAGGTGGGTGTATCACCTGAGATCAGGAATTAGAGACCAGCCTGGCCAATACAATATGGCAAAACCCAGTCTCTATTAAAAATACAAAAATTAGCTGGGTGTGGTGGCACATGCCTGTAATCCCATCTACTCTGGAGGCTGAGGCAGGAGAATCACTTGAACCCGGGAGACAGGGGTTGCAGTGAGCTGAGATCGCGTCACTGCACTCCAGCGTGGGCAACAGACTAAGACTCTGTCTCAAAAAAAGAAAAAAAAAAAGGATTACAAATCATGTCATACAAACAAGTGATGAAAGAATATGAAGGCAAAAAATATAAGGGAAGAAGTAATATAGCAATACATCAAGCAATTAATAAATTAATAAATTAAAAAGACTATGTTCTTTTTTCCGGATTAGGTAAGATATTTGTGGTATTGCCTGCTTTTAAAAATTTTGTAATTTTCTGTGATTTCTTTTTCATCTTAAATAGATATTTACCTTCATGCCTAATTTACTGTTTTTCATTTTTTAACTATTAGTGAGGGCCATAAAAAATGTCATGTGCTTAAGCCCTCACAAGACCTGAATCCCCTGGGGAAGAGCATTCTATGGCTGGGGTTGGGTGCTAGCCCTTGGCGTCTTTGTTTGGATCCATTTCTTACCCTTCTCTTGCTCTATGGCAGGGAACTGACCCTGTGGCCTGTTTCCAGGGATCCTGTGTCCACTGCCGTTTGACAGCATCTGGCCAATGAGAGGCCAAAGTAGATGAGAGGGCTGGGAGAAGGGAGTCTTGGCTCTTCCTCCCTCCTTTCTGCAGCCAGGCATTCCTGGTCTCTGCTTGCTGCCTCCAGCTCCTGTTAAAGAGGCCTGCCTGGGTTTCTGCTTCTTTCAGAGTCCCTCTGGCCCCTGGGTGTGGGTAACGCCACCTTTTCCTGTTATCTCTACAGCCTAGGGGTGGTCACCACTTCCTGCTGTTGGTGATCGCTGGGTGGCCTCCCCTCCCCTGTTTGGCATCTCAGCAATTCTGTCACCTTGTAACCAGTTTCCAGTACTGCATCCCTTCATGGAATGGCTTCTGTTTTCCTGGGTGGATCCTGACTGAAAGAAGGAGGTAAGATAGAAAGGGGGAGACCTGTTAGGGGGTGAATGTAACAGTCCAGGAGAGCAATGAAGGCGGCTTGCCCCAGAGTAACAGCTGTGGATGTGATAAGAAGTGGTAGAGACTAATGATTTGCTTATAGACTGGATTTCGGAAGTAAGAGAAAGAGAAGAGTCAGAGATGACTGCAAGGTATTTGACCTGAGCACCTAGAAGAACAGAGTCAGCCCTTAGTGAGGAGGTGCAGATTTGAGGGGATAGGAGGATATGAGGAGTTTTCTTCAGGATGCTGGGTTTGAGATGCCTATTAAACATCAAGTTGAAATTATATATATGAGGCCTCTCAGGAAAGAGATTTATTTGAGAGGCAGGTATACATTTGGGAGTTATCAGTGTAGAGGTAGAAGCTGTATGACCATCGATGACATTAATGGAGCAAGATAGAGAAGAGGTCCTGAACTGAACTGAACCCTGGAGTAAACCAATATTTAGAGGCCTGGGAAATGAAGAGAGACTAGCACAGGGGTCTGAGAAGAGAGTCCAGAGAGGTAAGAGGAGAACCAGAAGAGTGGCATCCTGAAAGTCAAATGAGGAAGATGTGCCTAAGAGAGGGGTTGGATGTGTCCAATTCTGCTGACGGGTCAAGTACAGTAAGGTCTGAGATTGACCAGCGAGTTTTGCAATATGGAGGTCATTGGTAAGTGACCCTGACAAGAGCAATTTCAGGAGAATGTTGGGGTTAAGAACTTGGAGACTGCAAACATTAGCAAATTTGTAAAGTTTGGCTGTAAAGTGAAGGAGATAAATGACATAATAGCTGGAAATTAAAGTGGGTCATTTCCAAGTGGGGAGAGGAATATAAAAACATTATATATATACATACGTACATACTACACATATATGCATGCACACATATATAATAACTTTTTGTTAAAGTGTAACATACATAGAAAGGAGTGCACAGATCATGAATGTACAACACAGGAAGTCTTCACAAGTTCACATATTAATGTAACCACTACCTAAATCAGGAAAAAAGACATTGCCAGCATCCCAGAGACTCCACATGCTCCCTCTCAGGTGTTACCCACTCATTCCTTCTCAAAGGTAACCACTCTTCTAACCATAAGTTAATTGTTGTCTGCTTTGAAACTTATATAGTAGAATAATATAGTATAACTTCTTTTACTCAACGTTGTTTGTGGGATAAATGTAGCGACAGTGCATTCATTTTCATTGACATATAGCATATCCTTGTATGATTATTCCACAATTTACATATCCATTCTATTCTTCTGTTTGTTTTTTGTTTTTGAGACGAAGTCTCACTCTGTCACCCAGGCTGGAGTGCAGTGGTGTGATCTCGACTCACTGCAACCTCTGCCTCCTGGTTTCAAGTGATTCTCCTGCCTCAGCCTCCCGAGTAGCTGGGACTACAGGCACGCACCACCACACCCAGCTAATTTTTGTATTTTTTAGTAGGGATGGGGTTTTGCCATGTTGCCCACGCTGTTCTCACACTTCTGACTTCAGGTAATCTGCCCGCCTCAGCCTCCCAATTCTATTCTTGATAGATAAGCATTTGGCCTGTTTAATGATTGTGCTACAGTATTTAATGTTACTATGGATATGCTTCTACATGTCTTTTGGTACACAAATGTATGCATTTCTGTTTGGTATATAACTATGTATGAAACTGCTGGATCATAAGGAAAGTTTAGTTTTGGCTTTAGTAGATTTTTGCATTGTCGGAATTTGCCATTTGATATTGGAATACATTCTCAAATAAATGTAGTTATGTTATACATCATTTTAATGGGCATTTCTCGCTTTTATTTTGCTAATGACTTATTACTTGCTGTTTATTTTATGTTTATTTTAGACTATGGAAATGATGTTAGACAAAAAGCAGATTCAAGTGATTTTCTTATTCAAGTTCAAAATAGGTCGTAAAGCAGCAGAGAAGATGACTCGCAACATCAACAACGCATTTGGCCCAGGCACTGCTAACGAATGTACAGTGCAGTGGTGGTTCAAGAAGTTTTGCAAAGGAAACAAGAGCCTTGAAGATGAGGAGTGTAGTGGCAGGCCGTTGGAAGATGACAACGACCAATGGAGAGCAATCATTGAAGCTGATCCCCTTACAACTACAAGAGAAGTTGCTGAAGAACTCAGTGTCAACCATTCTACGGTCGTTCAGCATTTGAAGTAAGTTGGAAAGGTGAAAAAGCTCAATAAGTGGGTGCCTCATGAGCTAAGCGAAAATCAAAAAAATTGTCATTTTGAAGTGTTGTCTTCTCTTATTCTATGCAACAATGAACCATTTCTCGATCAGATTGTGACATGCCACTAAAAGTGGATTTTATACAACAGCCGGCGACGACCAGCTCAATGGTTGGACCAAGAAGAAACTCCAAAACAGTTCCCAAAGCCAAACTCGCACCAAAAAAAGGTTATGGTCACTGTTTGGTGGTCTACTGCTGGTCTGGTCTAATCCACTTTAGAGTTCTGAATCCCAGCGAAACCATTACATGTGTGAAGTATGCTCAGCAAAGTGATGATATACACTGAAAACTGCAATGCCTACAGCCGGCATTAGTCAACAGAGAGGGCCCAATTCTTCTCCACAACAATGCCCGACCACACATTGCACAACCAACGCTTCAAAAGTTGAACGAATTGTACTACAAAATTTTGCCTCATCTGCCACATTCACCTGACCTCTCACCAACCAACTACCACTTCTTCAAACATCTCAACAACGTTTTGCAGGGAAGACAATCCACAATGAGCAGGATGCAGAAAATGCTTTCCAAGAGTTTGTCAAATTCCAAAGGACAGATTTTTATGCTACAGGATTAAATTTATTTCTCTTTGGCAAAAATGTGTTGATTGCAATGGTTCCTATTTTGATTAATAAAAATGTGTTTGAGTCTAGTTACAATGATTTAAAATTCACGGTTCGAAACCACAATTACTTGTTGCACCAAAAAAGTTTTGTACCAATTTCCACTCCTACAGAAGGGCAATCCAGTTGTTCCCTACCCACCTGGTACTGTCATAAGCCTTTTAAATTTTGGCCATTCTGATGATTGTGTCATGGTGCCACACCACGGTTTTGATTTTCATTCCCTTGATGACCAATAAGGTTGAGCATATTTTCCTACAGTTCATGGCTGTTTGGATATTTTATTTTATGAAGTGGTTGTTCAAGTCTTTTGAGGAGAGATAAGAAAGTGTTAAATGGGACAGGAGGGTCAATGGATTACGGGCTTTACCTGCAACCACAAGGGTCCACTTGAGCTTAGTGCCCATGAATATAAGATGAGACTAGTCAGCCTGTCTTGTGCTTTTCTCCAAACTCATTCAGTTGCACAGGAAAAGCAGGGAGCATATGGACAATTGGAGTTAACTATGGTCGAGAGTTGCCCAAGTGATATGAAGAAGTAGGTCAAGGGCACAAGAGTTGAGGAAGTGTGCAAGGGAATGACAATGATGAACCATAGAACATAAGCTGGTTAGAGTGGAATATAAGGGCAATGAAAATATAGAAAGGTCATTAGATTATAGGTCCTGGTGGGTTGAATAATTGTCAGAGTAGAAAAAGAGGAATGAGCTGGAAAAATTAGAGGTGGCAATCTAAGAGGTAAATTGCTTACATTGAGGTTATAGCGATGTCAGAGCTATTGGTCATGATCAGGTCTATAGCAAAATGATGGCCTTGAGTGGATGAAGCAGGGTGGAGGACCAGTAGTGAAAGAGGAAGTCAAGGAACCAAGAGATCAAGTGTCTCAGTCTGTTTTGTGCTGCTATAACAGAATACCTGGGACTGAGTAATTTATAATGAACAGAAATTTAGCTGCATGCAGTGGCTCATACCTGTAATCCCAACACTTTGGGAGGCCAAGGCGGGCAGATCACTTGAGACCAGGGAGTTCAAGACCAGCCTGGCTAACATGGTGAAACCCCGTCTCTACTAAAAATACAAAAAATAGCCAGGCATGGTGGCACATGCCTGTAATCCCAACTACCCAGGAGGGAGGCATGAGAATCGCTTGAACCTGGGAGGCGGAGGTTGCAGTGAGCCAAGATGGTGCCACTACACTTCATCCTGGGTGATGGAGTCAGACTCCACCTCAAAAAAAAAAAAAAAAAGAAAACGTATTAGCTCACTGTTCTGGAGGATGGGAAGTCCAAGATCAAGGTGCCAACATCGTACAAGGACCTTCTTGTGTCATCACGTGGTGGAAGGCTAGAGGATAAGAGAGAGTGAACCCACTTTTTCAAGCCTTTTTTTATAATGGCATTAATCCATTCATGAGGGCTCTGCCCTCTTAACTTAATTACCTCTTAAAGGCCCCACCTCCCAACACTATCACATTGGGGATTAAGTTTCAACCTATGAATTTTGGAGGGGACACAAACATTCAAACCATAGCACCAAGGTACCAGAAAATTGTCTATTTGAATGTTGAAATTACCAATAATTATGGCAGAATTACAATTGGAGAGAAGCTCTTCCAATTTACCGGTAGAAAGCATTAGCAGAGGAATGAACATACACAGCAAATGACACATCTGTACGTAGGAATCATCTTGTACATAGACATGCATAATTTAAATGAGATGATGTTTCAAAGTAGTGCAGAAATGATGGATTATGCCATAAATAGTATTTGAACAAGTGTCTCTCCACTGGGAAAATAACACAATTTTACTTGTTTCTCACACAATCTACAAGAGTAACTTTTAAATGGACTAAAAGAACTAAACATTAGAAACTATAAAATTACCAGAAGAAAATAAAGGAAAATATCTTATAATAGTGAGGCAGAGAACGTTTTCCTAAGTAAGATAGATCTGAGATCACAGAAAATGGTAATAGTTAGTATTTATTGCACCATGTCCTGTGGTGATTACCATTCTAAGAACTTCTAATGTGTATTAATTCATTTAATCCTCACAACAACCCTATGCAGTAAGTACTCTTATCCTTGTTTTATGTAAGAAAACTGAAGCACAGGGAGGTTAGGTAACTTGCCAAAGTCACAGAGCTAAGATAACTCCAGAACAAAATATAAATAATTGACATGTAACTATAAAACTTTTATAGACAGAAAAAAGTTAGTGAAGTCTAAAGAAAAAGGACATCTGGGAGGCAATATTTATATTACAAATTTTGTAACTTTTCTTTTTAAACAGCTTTGAGATATGATTGACATACAATAAGCTTCACATATTTAAAGTGTACAACTTGATGAGTTTTGACATAAGTATACACCTGTGAAACCGTCACTACAATAAAGAATGAGCATACCCATCACCCCTAAACGTTATTTATAACTTTCCAATGAATTATTTCCATGTCATACATACATAAGGAGTTACTACAAATCAATAAAGCAAAAAATAAAAATGGGCAAAGAGTATAACCAGGAATTCACAGCACAAGACACACAAATAGCTAATAATCATATGAAAATATGCACAACCTAATCCCAGCACTTTGGGAGGCCAAGGTGGACGGATCACTTGAGGTCAGGAGTTCAAAACCAACCTGACCAACATGGTGAAATCTAGTCTCTACTGAAAGTACAAAAATTAACCAGGCGTGGTGGCATGCGCCTGTAGCCCCACCTACTTGGGAAGCTGAGGTGGGAGGATCCCTTGAACCCAGGAGACGGAGGTTGCAGTGAGCCGTGATCATGACATTGCACTCCAGTCTAGGTGACAGAGTGAGACTTTGTCCCCCACCCCCCTCCCCCACAAAAAAAGAAAATATGTACAACCTCAGTTGCAGGGAATGGAAATTAAAATGATGAGGTAGCATTTTAAGCTGAGTGGTGAAACTTGGCAAGGTTGATGCTATCCACAGTTGGTTAAAGAAAGCAAAGTTCGGCAGGGCGTGGTGGCTCACGCCTGTAATCCCAGCACTTTGGGAGGCTGAGGTGGGCAGATCACGAGGTCAGGAGATCGAGACCATCTTGGCTAACACAGAGAAACCCTGTCTCTACTAAAAATACAAAAAATTAGCCGGGTGTGGTGGTGGGTGCCTGTAGTCCCAGCTACTCGGGAGGCTGAGGCAGGAGAATGGCGTGAACCTGGGAGGCAGAGCTTGCAGTGAGCAGAGATCGCACCACCGCACTCCAGCCTGGGCGACAGAGTGAGACTCCATCTCAAAAAAAAAGCAAAGTTCATGAGAGTTTGGCCACACGGGCTCTCTCATTTGCTGCAATGACAATAGGTATTTGCATACATCTTTTTGGAATAAGACAGATGAACTCCGCATCTAAAATACACATGACCTATTTCCTAATAGCTGAATTTTCTAAGAATCCAACCTTCAGCAACAATCACATAATATGTGCCAAGGTATAATGCAGTACTTTAAATAGAAAAACATTAAAACACTGGTGGGGGGTGGGGAAGCCAAAACTCCCATTAATGATTAAATAATGTTTTAAATGGTATAACCATACTTTGGAACATTACATAGCTATTAAAAAGAAGTGAGATTTCTACACATGTATGGGGAAGACTTTCATCTTTTATTCTATGTACTTTTGAATTATTTCTATTCTTAACAAGTAGGTTTAAAACAGTGAAAATGAAAAAAGTAGTGCATGCTTGTAGATAAACAAATTCATGCAATACAGAACTTTAGAGAGGAACATGTGGATATCCCTCTCACGTTTATTAATTCATGAAACTAAGAACTAATTGTGTGCCAGAGATGAGCAAAGCATTGTCCCTGTCTGCACACAGCTTACCTTCTAATAGAGGAAAGGAAAAGCAAGTGTGTTATCTGCATGTAAAAATAGACACCTAATTTAGATTGGAAGGGCCAAAAGGCCACTTTGGGAAAGTGAGAGTTAGCTGAAGCCTGAAGGATAAATAAGAGTTCAGTGGTGGGCACAGTGGCTCATGCCTGTAATCCCAGCACTTTGGGAGGCCAAGGCAGGAGGATGGTTTGAAGCCAGGAGCTCAAGATCAGCCTGGGAAACATAGAGAGATCTTGTCTCTACAAAAAATTTAAAATAAATTAGCCGGTCATCATTGTGCCTACCTGTAGTTCCAGCTACTTAGGAAACTGAGGCAGGAAGATTGCTTGAGCCCAGGAGTTAGAGGCTACTGTGATACTGTGAGCTATGATCGTGCCACTGCACTCCAGACTGGGCAACAGAGCCAGACCTTGTCTTTAAAAAAAAAAAAAAAAGAGTTAGCAGTAGGGAAGAGTAGATGGGAAAGAATCCATGAAGAGGAAGCAGCGCACAAAGGCTCCAAGGTAGAGGGCAGGACTGTGCGGCGCACAGGAGTACTGGAGGCCAGAGACAGGCCCTGCTCTGCATAAGGGAACATGCGGGAGAAAGAGGAGTCTGGATTTTCAAAGTCTGTTAGCTGCAGGACTGTATGATTTACATTCAGAAAAATTCACCTTTTTTAGGTAGACAGTTTGACGGATTTTGACAAATGTGAACACTTGCGAAACTACCACCACAGTTAAGTCACAGAGCATTTCTGTCATCCCAGCAAGTTCTCCTGTGTCCCTTTGTACCTAAGCCCACTGCCAGGCCCTGCAACCACTGATCTGCCTTCTGTGACAGCCCTTTTGCCTCTTCCAGAGATTGTCGTAACGGATCTGTATAGTATACAGCCTTCAATCCAGTTTCTTTGACTCAGTTTCTTTGCTATTCATCCATGCAGATGTGTGTATCAGTAGTTCATTCTGTCTTATTGCTGAGAAGTATTAAATGGAATAGTGTATGGATGTACCACAACAGGTTTGTTCAATCACGAGTTGATGGATCGGTTTGTTTTTTTTTCCAGTTTGGGACTATTATGAATACATCTGCCTGGGACATTTGTGTACAGGTCTTTGTGTGGATGTATCTTTTCATTTCTCTAAATATCTGAGTGGACTCGTTGGATCATATGGTAAGTGTATGTTTAACTGCCAAACTGTTTTCCAAAGCGGCTGCCCCATTTTGCATTCCCACCATCAATGTGTGTGATTTCTAGTGGTTCTCATTCTCAACAACATTTGATATTATCGGTTTTCTAAAAATTACTATCCCTTTAGCCATTCTAATAGGTGTGTGGTGATATCTCATTGAGGTTTTAGTTTGCATTTCCCTAATGATTAATGTTGTTGAGCATATTTTCATATTCTTATTTACCATTTGTATCTCTTTGACAAAATGAGCCTCAGGACTTTCAATTTACATTAAATTCTTTGTAAAACTTCAAAATATGAAATAATAATTAATAATAAATACATATTAAATGAAGTTGGGGGCCAGGAGTCCTAGCTGCTCAGTGCTTCACTGCTGCCTGCTTTGCCCCCCTCCCAAACCCTGGCCTCTGAGAGGGCACCATGGAGCAGTGTTTCAATTACCAGACAAGGATCTTGCTAGCTAGTCTCCAAAGACAGCTCCCCGATGAGCTGTGGCTTACAGTAGTCATGCCCTTGTGTATTCCCCTCCCACATTGAATCGGGGTTGACCGTGTGTAACTAATACAATGCATTAGAAGTGAGGCCTTGTGACTTCTGAGGTTAGGTCAGAAGAAGCCATAAAACGTCCACCTTGGTCATCTAGAATGCCCACTCTGGGAGAAGCTAGTTGCCATTACATCCAACTATGCCAAGACCACTATGCTATGAGAAAGCCCAAAGAAGCCATATAAAGGGGCTGCATGGAGAAAAAGAGAGAGAGAGCTGGCCAGCCCTGATCTGTTCCAGCCATTCCAGCCCAGGCACCAGCCATATGAGTGAAAGAAGCCATCTTGAATGTCCAGTCCAGCCAAGCTTTCAGAGGACTCCAGCCCCAACCACCCTCTGATTACAATTCTACAAGGGTCCGAAAGGTAGAACTACCCATTAGAATCAACCCCAAGAGCCATGAGGGATAATAAAAGGTTGTTTTAAGTCTCTGAGTTTTGGAGTGGTTTGTTATGCAGCAATAGCTAACTGGCACATGGATGGTGCCCGGGTTTGGGGTCTGCTGACTTGGAAAGGTGGTAAGCCTGGGAACAAGAGAGAGGGCTGCTAGCTGTTGTCACTTTCCTTCTTTTTCTTTCTACATTCAGACTCCCTGGATATCATCTTATATCCTTACACTGTCAGTGCCAGAATTGTGGGTGGCTACGAGAAAACGGAGACTGGCAAGAAACAGGAACTGAGAAAGTCAAAGCAGATGCCAGGCCCAGGAATGAGCCCAACTCCAACAAAATATTAGGAACAGTAATTCCTCACATGTTAACAGTCCTTTGCAGTTTCTAAAGCACACTGAGATGTGTTATTTGACCCTCATATCAGCTAGGGGATATGAGGGTCAAATAATATAATACATTTTAGGGTGTTACTACCCCCTTTTATTTAACTAGATAAAGAAATGGAGGCTACCCCCATTTAACTAGATTAAAAAAAATAGAGGCTCAGGAAAGTTAAAGAGTTGCAGAGAGCATAGCCCTGGTGTATCGCACTCTGGGAGTTCTTGTTGGAATGAGAAAGAACCAGGATTAATTCACAATTACCTTGGGATGGAGACTGGAACAGTAAATTGCTTAGGTTAAGAACCTGGTGGCTGGGCACAGTGGCTCACACCTGTAATCCCAGCACTTTGGGAGGCCGAGGCGGGTGGATCACCTGAGGTTAGAGTTTGAGACCAGCCTGACCAACATGGTGAAACCCCGTCCCTGTTAAAAATACAAAATTAGCTAGGCATGGTGGTGCATGCCTGTAATCCCAGCTACTCAGGAGGTTGAGGCAGGAGAATCGCTTGAACTCTGGAGGCAGAGGTTGCAGTGAGCCAAGATCATGCCATTGCACTCCAGCCTGGGCAATAAGAGCAAAACTCTGTCAAAACAAACAAACAAACAAACAAACAAACAAACTGGCAAAGGCAAAGCCAAGGTTTAATTACTTACTGAGCACCTCTTGACACTAGACTAAGTTCTTTGGACACTTTGTGTACTCTTCTTAGTGACCCTGTAAGGTAGATGCTATTACCATCCTTATTTTGCAATAGGTCTCTGACATCACGACTCAGAGATATTGCCCCCAACACTCACCACTTCAACCTATCATGTCTTCATAACGGCATTGCCAATTCTCTGAACACTGGTTCTGTAGCTGGAACCTAATGCCTACATGATGAGCACGGGGTCCCGGCTGACCTTCTTACCCCTCCTGTGCACATTGGTGTCCTTACTGCCCTTGAGCCCATTGTGGTCATATCATTTCTGTGCTCAGAGAGCATCAGGGGCTTCCAACAGACCAGGCTCCTCATCAACTCCCCACCCATTAACCCTGCCCAAAGCTCAGAACCAAGCCTGTCCCTAATTGTAGGAGTCATTCATTCATACATTCAACAAATATTTATCAAATGCCTAATGTCTGCCAAGCACCATTTAGGAAGGCCAGCAGAGCATACCATACAATAGACACCTTCCTTGACCTCAAGAAGCCTGCAATCTAGCAAGGTGTATAGACAACAAGTTCCCTGAGGGCACCAAGGAGATTCCCTTGAATATTCACCACTGCCAGGAAGAGTTCCCTGACTCTCACCCTCGGGCGCATCCAGCAACCCTTGGAAATTTCCTATTGAGCTCTGTCCAGCTGAAATTATAGCATGTATCCTTTTAGTCTTCAAAGAAGAGTGTAAGCGTGTGTGCACACACGTGTGCACATGAGTGTGTTTTCCTCATTCCAGCCAAATACCACCACCCCAAGGCATTGTCATCTGAAAGGGTTTGGAAGGCAGCCCGAGCCAATGCCCTCCTGCCCTTTACTGTCCCCTGAGCTCCTGTCCCACTTTTCTAGATGTCTCCCCTTGATGTTCCGCCAAGACCTCAGACTCATTGCAACCAAAACTGTCCTTCCCAATCTGCTTTCACTCCTCTTTTCCCTTTCTCGATTTGTAGCCACATCAGCACCCAGACACACCAACTCAAGATCTCTAACTCATTCTCCAGTAGACACACACAGTCTTGTATAGCCACATACAAAACTTGTTTCATCCTTGTGAAGAGCCACACCAAGTCCTATTTAACACAAAATTCACACTCCTACAACATTCACACAATTCAATCACACAAAAATAAAATCAGAACCATACAGCGAGCTCTGTAGAAAGTCACTCTCCTGCATAGTCCCAGCAAGGCATGTATGGTGATAAATACATGCACACACTCACACATACAGTCCTAGGTGACAAGCTTTTCACCAGGAGCATCTGGGGAAATGAAACATCATAAAGTCCAATCATTTTGAACCCAGACCCAGGACCTGAATCCATCAATCCTTCTGGGGAGGATGGCGGGCGTTGCCTTTCCCCTGTTCCTGACAGCCCTGTGATTTGTGTCTGCTCCATGGGTGCTGGTGCCATAATTCACCTTCTGTGCCCACAGGATAACTGCCCAGCCTGGCCTTTTGCCTGACACAGACTCTGGACTTGCCTGTGCCTGTCCTCCTGGCCTCATAGCCAAGCTGTGTCCCTGAGCTGGGGATGGCTTGGGGATCTGAGGTCATATAAGGGCTGGGTCTCCCAGGAAAGAGCAAGGCTGCAGAGTGGACCACAGAGATGTTTCCATCACCCTGTGTCTTCCAGGATCCTCGGTGCTGAGCACTTGGCCAGAGAACTCCAGGACAAACCCCTCTCTCTGCCTAGACCACAGTCAAATCCAAGCTGCCTTAAACAAATTGGCAAAGAGGATTCAAGCAGCCCAAACCTGGGGCATAGGCACCGATGGTGAGAATCCAGGCTTATTCCTCCACAGGCAACCTGGAAGCTGCAGTTCCCATCACCTAGCCTTCCCTTTTCTCCATCTCCAACATACACACAGGCTGCCGTGACTCTGGGCTGCCTTCCAAGGGGGGGCATCCTAAATCATCTCTGGGGCTCCCTGCCAGGACAAGTAGCAGCATTGGTGAGAAAGACAAGATGGATTACATATATGTTGATGTGCTAGTATGGAGGCTCTGGATGAGTGGCTGGGGGGATAATGGGGGTGAGGTTAGAGGACAAAGATCCAAAGTTACAAGGCTATTGACTTCAAAATGGGAAGGACAGATTTTCTTCTTAATTTCTGAGATCTGGGAACAAGACTGGCTTGCACATGAGAGGCTCCTAAAGGGGCTTTGTAATACTGCAGGGCCTGGTTCAGCCCACCCAGCACCCCCCAGCCTCCACCCATGAAGGGCAAGCAGAACTACAGTGAAGAGGGATCCCCCCAGGGATTCACTCCTAACAGACTCTGGGGAATACTGTCCAGAATTGCCCTTTGACCCATTAGCTCCCCTTTCTGTCTTGGAACAGTATTGATTTGCCCTTTTTCCCTCTCTGGTTCTCACTGGGGGAAAGATGGAAAATCAAATGTTGTCAGGATAACTGACCAACCATTTGGAAAACAATAAAGCTGGAATTGTCCTTCACTCTTTACACAAAAATAAACTCAAAAGGATAAAAACATATAGTATAAAAAGTGAAACCACACGAGTACTAAAGCAAAGTGTGAATATTTGTATTATGGGCCTTTCTAAGCCCAGCACAAACTCTAAAAGCAGTAAGGGAAAAAACCCTACAGACTTAACTACATAAAAATCAAGTACTTATGCGGGACAAAAAATACATATGGTTGAAAGTCAGGATGAAGTAGAAAAATATTAGGAATACTATCTTTAACTTACGAAAGAGCTCCCACAAATAAGAAAAAAACAAATACTCCAATAGAGAAATGGGCAAAGAACATGATCAGACAACTCACAGATGAAGTAAGAATGTCCATTTGTCCATTAAGAACCAAGTATATGCCCTAGTTCAGTATCGATGAAAAATGCAAGTGGAAGGATGTATCAATTGTCACCTATAAGGTGGGCAAAAGTTGTTTGTTTGTTTGTTTGTTTGTTTGTTGAGACAGAGTCTCACTCTATCGCCCCAACTGGAGTGCAGTGGTGTGATCTCGGCTCACTGCAAACTCCGCCTCCTGAGTTCAAGCAATTCTCCTGCCTCAGCTTCCCCAGTAGCTGAGATTACAGGTGCCTGCCTCTGCGCCCAACTAATCTTGTATTTTTAGTAGAGATGGAGTTTCACTATGTTGGTCAGGCTGGCCCCGAACTCATGACCTTAGGTGATCCACCCACCTTGGCCTCCCAAATTTCTGGGATAATAGGCGTGAGGCACTGCGCCCAGTTTTTTTAAACTGACAATGGTGTAAGAAAGGGGGCTTTCTCCCACACTGCTGATGGTGGGAGAGACGTGGGAAGGTTCATTGTTTCTGGAGGCCAGCAGGCCAATGACCCCACAGCAATAGCTAATATATATAGCTTTTATGACATACCAGGCATTGTTCTAAGTGCTTTGCATATAAAGAATTTATTTCATCCAAACAGTAATCTCATAAAGTAAATCCTGTTATTATTCCCATTTTACAGATGAGGAAACTGAAGCCCAAGAAGTTAAAGATAATTTTCCCAAGATCTTTTTGCTAGGAAATGGCAAAATTGTTATTGAATCCAGGCAGGTGGCTCTCCTATGCTATTCCATACCAAAATGTCAATTGTTCAAATCGTTTGTCCTAGAAATTTTACTTCTGGGAATTAATCTTAAGGACTCAATTAGGCAAATGCACAGAGATGTATATATAAGAATGTTGTTCTGTATGTCAAATATATCAGTGAAAAAATGGGAACAATGTAAATGTTCAATAGGAAATCCATTGACTAAATTATGTTACTTCCATAAAACAGAATGCTATGCAACCATTAAAAAGTATGATGTATATTTATATTCACTGATACGGAAAGATTTCGACAACATATTGTTGAGTGGAAAAGCAGGTTGCAAAACAGCATGCATAGTATGATCCCATTTAGGTAAAACTATATATATATATCACTCAAGATCTGAGAGGATGCTCACCAAACGCTAAAGGTTATTATCTTGTGATGGCGGAGATTTCAGGGAATTTTTATTTTCTCCTTTCTTCCTTTCTTGTGTTGTTTGGATTTTGTACAGTGAGCATATATTATCTTTGTAAACAGAAAAGGCAATTTTTAAAAATGAGCCTCCTGGAATTGGCATCTCCTTATTTGTATCTCTTAGTGCTTTGTTCAGCCAGCCTGTAAAGAGACCCTACTACGTGTTAGGCTCCAGCTAGGAGGAAAAAGAGAAACAGATGCTTAGAAGGCATCAGAGGCAGAAGCAAGGCCACAGTGGCAAACATGGGGAGAGAGGCACGTGTGTCTGCCTGATTGCAACAGGAACCGGGCCAGAGGCAGAAAGGCAGGGAGAAGATGGACCAGTGAGGAGGAAAGATGAGGAGGTGCAGACACAGGTACTTGGTATGGGCACCATGTCTTGGCTCCCAGGTTGGCTAATGCTGTCCTGTTAATGAAGTGAGTGATTAATAGCCAAGGGGATAGAGAGCTGGTATATGAGATTAATCCCAGTTAATGAATCCATTGTTAGCGGCATTAAATAGCAACAGCGGGGAGGGTGGAGGCAGCCTCCTCTCTCCTCTTGGCGCATCCAGACCTGGGCTGGCTCTGCAGCCATGGGAGAGGGAGGCTCTTGGCATGTGGTGGGGAGAGAGTGGAGAACAGGAGGAAAAGAAAGGAGCATGTATCGCATCCCTGCTGGAAATTGAGTGCTTTTGCACACGCTGTCTCCCGCTGGCCCCCACTGACCCTCAGGCAGGCACGTATCACCCCCATTTTGCTGGGCCATGGAGATGACAGCTTGCTCCTGTCCCTGGCAGCTGGACCCTCATCTGCCTGACTCCTGGCCAGGTTCTTGTGGTCAGGCCACACTCCCTTTCTAGGGAAGCTGAGTGACAAGGTCCAGGAAGGGAGAGTGAGGGCAAAAGAGGGAGAGTGAGGGCGAAAGAGGGGAAGTGAGGGCGAAAGAGGGGAAGTGGTCACTGGTCACTGGAGACAGGTGGAGATGAAGGGACATCGGGAGCTCTTCAGGAACCAGGACTGGAAGGGTCCTGTGGTGGAACATGGAGACAGAGACAGAGTGGGCAGCAGAAGGGCTTAGGGGACAGCAGGATCCCAGGGGTGAGGCAGCCTTGCCGGACATTACTTCCCTCCAGGACTCAAGTCTCAGAGCTATCCTGAGACAAGGCATCAAAACAGGGACATCTGTCTGCCCAGCTGCCCCCACCAGGGTTCCAGCTGACAACCTAGAGCCATCTGAGAGGACAGAAACCAGTCACTCCTGCCTGCCCCAGGGCTTCTTCAGAGGATAGATGTGACATTTCCCAATCCGCACCTGTCTATGCACTGTTCCTAAAAGCTGAAAACATGCTAATTTGTTTGACCTTCACAATAACCCTGAGCAATTGGTATTATTGTTCCCATTTTACAGAAAAGGACACCGAGGCTCAGGGACAGGCACTCTCACCCAAGATCACATAGCAAATTGGTGGGACAGCCTGGTTTGGAAACCAGTTCTACCTGGCTCCAAAATCTATGGTCTCGCTGCAAGTCCTTCTCCCGCTGGACCAGTCATCCTAAAAGTGTGGTCTCCCTAGACCCATGGGGCTGGGATTAGCAATATGTGTTTCCATAAGCCTGAGTGTTTCTGAGAACCCCTGCCCTGCACAGGCTTCCCTGCCTAGATAGAAGAGAGCATCTTTTCCAGGGAGATGCCAGGCAAGTCTCCCAAGAGGATGCATCTTCCAGACCTACAAAAGCCAAAGCACCCAGGAGCCTCTTCTGTCCTCCAGCTGCACGCTCTCCCTGGGCGATTTCATCCTATCCCATGGTTTTCCACAGCATTTATATGCTGACAATGTCCCAATTTATAGCTCCAGTCCTGACATCTCCCCTGAAATTCCATCACATACATCCAGCTGCCCACCTGACATCTCCGTTTAGATGTCTAAAGCCATCTCAAAATCAAAGTGAATCCTAATTGCCCCCAAACCTGCTCCTCCACCATCCTCCCCATCTCAGTAAATGGCACTGACATTTACCCAGTTGCTCAGGACCAAAGTCATGGAGTCATGCTTTACTCCTCCCTTTAGCTCATAGTCCACGTTCAATCCAATAGGAAACCCTGTTGCTTCTGTTTTTGAAATATATTTCAAAGCTGACTGCTGTTTACCACCTCCACACTGCCACTGTGCTCTGTCTTTCTCTTCTCACCTGGACGTGTACAGCAGCTTCCTAATTAACCCCTCAGCTCCCATGCATGCTCCCTACAGTCTTATCTGCATTCCATGGCCAGAGTGATTGTTTTAAAACCTAACTCTGAAATGGTGTCACACCTCTGGTCAAATCCCTCCAATGACCTCTCAACCCATTTAGAATTAAATCCACAGTCTTAGCTTTGACCTCCAAAGTCCCATATAATATGCACCTCCACATCCCTCACTTCTCTCCAACCTCAGCCACTCTCTTACCACACCTGCCTTCTTTCCTTCCCCAACCCAGCCCTCATTACAGCAAGCATGCCCCCACCCCAGCGCCTCTGCACAGGCTATGCCTCTGCTCAGGATGGTCTACATGGGCTTCATTCAGTTCCCTGCTTAGACGTCAGAGTGACATGGCCGGGCACAGTGGCTCATGCCTGAAATCCCAGCACTTTGGGAGGACGGCTAATTTTTATATTTTTAGTAGAGATGGGATTTCGCCATGTTGGCCAGGCTGGTCTCAAACTCCTGGCCTCAAATCATCTGAGGCCTGGAATTTGAAACCAGCCTGGCCAACATGGCGAAACCCCATCTTTACTAAAAATATAAAAATTAGCTGGGCGTGGTGGCGGGCACCTGCAATCCCAGCTACTAGGGAGACTGAGGCAGAAGAATCACTTGAACCCAGGAGGTAGAGGTTGCAGTGAGCCAAGATCATGCCACTGCACTCAGCCTGGGCAACAAGAGCAAAACTTCATCTCAAAAAAAAAAAAAAGTCAGAGTGACCTGTCCTACCACCTCGTCATGCTCTCAGCTTTGTTTTCAAAGCACTCATTATCACCTGGCATAACCTCAAAGATTTGTTAGTTTCATTGTCTGTCTCCCCTATCAGGCTGGCTGTACACTGCATGAGGGGAGGGATTTTCCTTCACTCAACAACCAGAATGGTGTCTGCCATGGAAGCTGTTCAATGAGTATTTGGTGAATGAATGAATGAATGAATTTCTCTGAATTTTTTTCCTTACCTGAAAAATAGGCACAGTCATCTCATAAAGTACCTGAGAAGATTGAATAAATACATTAAAATACCCAGCTCATGATTGGCATAATGTGGGTCCTAATCAAGGGTTTTTGTCATTTTTAGATCTTCTCTTCCCTCCCTTGCTGAAGAATCCATGCTGGCTCTGTATCTCCCAGCACCTTGAGCGTGGGCCTGAACCTGACCAGATCGGTAAAGGGTTGACTAGCGTTCACCAAGCATTGGCAAATAGGTAGACTATAGTCATGTCTGTGCCTCATTGTCCCCTGGGAGAAACCAACAACAGTAAATTCACATCTATATGATATCTTACGGTTTCCTCTATACCGACATCAACCAATCTTCACAACCATCTAGTGAGATATGCACTATTATCCCATTTCCAGATGAGGACACTGACAATGCAAGTGATTTACCCAGAACTGTAGCTTCAGGATGTGGCCAAGATGGGAATCAGCCCCTAGGCATCTGATGCCAAGACCTCTGCTCTTTCTTCTACCTCCAAGCCTCCCTGCCTGGAGCGCACTTCCTCACTTCCAAGTTTTCACTTTTGTTTGGACTGCCCTCCTCTGTGCTTCAAGTCTCTGAGTTCTCCTCATCCTCTGAGATCTAGCTCACCTTTCTCCTCCTCCTGGAAGCTCTCTTGACTTTCCCCCTCTCTCCTCCAAGCTTTTCTGGTACTAGATTCTATACTCTCTTGCCCTGTTCTCCGATTGTCTCCTGTATGTTTTCTCTCATCAACTATAACAATAGTGACACAGAAGTTTTGTCTGTTTGTTTGTTTTTATAGAGCCTCACTCTGTCATCCAGGCTGGAGTGCAATGGTGCTATCTCAGCTCACTGCAACCTCTGCCTCTCCAGCTCAAGCAATTCTCGTGCCTCAACCTCACAAGTAGCCGGGAGTACAGGTTCGTGCCATCACGCCCGGCTAATTTTTATATTTTTAGTACAGATGGGTTTTCGCCATGTTGGCCAGGCTGGTCTTGAACTCCCGGCCTCAAATGATCCACCTGCCTCAGCATCCCAGAGTGCTGGGATTAAAAGTGTGAGCCACCATGCCTGGCCAGAACTTTTCAATTACATTTGCTATATAAGCAAGCAGATGACAGACACATAGAAGAAAAAAATCAAAGTTCCCCTTCACTGCCTTGCTCCCCAGTCCCATTCCCACTGCCAACAGTCTGGCCTGACCATACATGTACTCACATGCTAAAAACCATGCCTAATAGATAGGATCATACTGTATCTATTCTTCAACTTGATTTTTTTCACTTAGAAACGTGTCTTAGTGCGTGTGCCCCATCAGCACACATAGATGCCTTTTTTAAGAGCTGTAGGTCTATGGATGCACCATGACTCTTTTAACTGCTTCTCCATTGGTGGGCATTGGGGTTGTTTCCAAGTTTCACTATTTCAGAGCAGCCTGCAACAAATAATCCCATGTGAGCCTCTCTGAGCACATGTGTGTTTCTATGGGAGAGAACCGGAAGTGAAGTCATGAGGGAGGGTTGCCCCTTCAAAGAAGCAGAGTCAATTTACATTTCATCAGTGCATGACACACCCACCCATCCCGTACCCTGAATTTACAAAGCACCTCCACAGCACCGTCTTATTTGCCTCTCACAAGAACCCTGAGAGGTAGTAATGTTAGTACCATTTTACAGGTGAAGACTGGAATTCAACTCCATCCTGCCACTCTCCAGGGCTCAAACTCACATGTGGTCTTTCCTGCCTACAAGACCAGTCCCCAGACCCTGGGAGTGGAGGCAGTGGTGGGTGTGCGCTCAGGAGTCCCAGCAGGGTCATGAATATTACAGAAGCGTGGGGGATATTTGGGGTAGGGGTAGGGAGTATACAGGTGAGGGCACTTGGTGGGGGCTCAAAAACCTGAGGAGGGGCTTTCTTCCCACTACTTCCATGGCTCAGAGGAGCCTGGGCTCAGGCTGAGAAGCAGGGCTGCTATGTTGCCATGGAAACGGAGGGTTCCTATCTCCCTCACAGCAGGAATCACGGTGATTGGGGGATGGGGGGTGGGAGGAGGATGTTTCCCTGGCAGCACCAAGGGTTGGGGCTAGGAGGCTGGTCACTCCTCTCACTCCTTCCATTCCTCCCTTTCTCCTCCCCACCCCACTGTCCAGGCCAGCAGCCAGCAGGAGGTGTCAGTGGTGGGGCTGGTATGGACCTGGAAGGGAGACATAGTTTGCTGTGGGGTGGGGTGAGGGGTCTGGGTCTCCCCAAAGAAGCTGTAGAAGGTCCCTGCTTTTAGACATCCCACATGCATTAGGGGCACACATACACCCTGAGTGCTGCCAAGATACTCTTACAGGACAGAAGCCTCCTCTCACTGTCACTCAGAGAGTCACAGAGCCAACCCCACACTCCAGTCCAGCACGCCCAAGCTTACCTGAGGTACATGTACATATGAACTTCTCAAAAACACACACACAGAGCCAACCGCTTACAGGCAGAGTCACACACTGACATGCTTATACATGGACAGGCTCGCACACTCAGTCACACACAGTCACACCTACACATACACGTCGCATGCACCTGCTACCTGATGCATGCTTGTGATTACATATTTATGTGGGTGCAAATATGTGCATGCACACACGCACCTCCCTCTGCTTCTGTGAGTGATTGTCAGTTCCTGGAAGCACTTTTCCTTCCTCTTCACACCTCCTCCTACTCACTCTCCCTCCTCTTCCCTGTGTCTTCCCCCACCCCACTGGCCCTCAGCTTGTCCTTGGCAGGAGATCTGCCCTCTGAGCTTAGCCCTGGAAGGATATGCTGTCATTTCCAAGGAAGCAGATTCTCAGATGTAGACAGTGCTCAGCCTTGAAAACATAGAAAGGGCTGAGGTTGGTGTTGGCAGTGTTGAAAGGGCTGAGGGTGTTGAATTTAGTACCCCACCCATTTCCCTTCCCTTCCAGATGATACTCCTGCCCGATCCTGCACTGAATTAACAGCAGCAAAAGCCACCCCGCTTCCCAAACAGAACAAAAACCTCCTACAAGCTTGCCACAGTAAGTAAAATTGTGAATATCCAAATAACCATGATTAATAGTAACAGGCAGCTAAGTAGCTGTTTACTGAAGGCTTGAGCACCAAGTACTAAGTCCATGGTCGCACTTATTTCTTGTATCAGCCTTCTAGGTGCGGAGTGTTATATCCATTTCAGAGAAGGAAACTGAAGATTAAAGAGTTCATAGAACTTCCAAATGATGGAGATGGGCCTCAAACTCGGGTCTGCCAGATCTGGATGATTCCTAACCAAGGGCTCCCTAAACTTACACTGCCAAGGTTGCATTCACTAAGCTCCTGCACTGTGCAAGGGCACTTTGACAAGAGAGCCAGAGTATCCACAGGTTGACTGACACCAGGAAAGCAGACACCTCCCTGTGGAAATGGAATACCAGACCTTCCTCTCCCTAGGGCCCTTTGCTCATTCTCTGCCTCCCACCTGAAGAACATTTGCTGCTCGTCTCTGGGACTCTCATCCCTGCCCTGGATCTGGACTTTCCTTCAGCATCTCCTCTTCATGTCACTAGCTTGCTCAGCCTTCCAAATCCCCACTGCAAATCAATTCTTTTGCAGAGAATTATTCTAGTTCCATTTCCCTTCTGGCCCGCTCCAGCCAGACCCAGAGAGCAGTTTGGTACAACCACAATGGTTCATCAAAGTGTTATGCTAAACACAGCTCACTTAATTCCTAAGAGGAATTGTGTTCTCAGTTACTATTTTTTTTCTCCCCACTACACTGAGATAATATCCCCCTAGCTTTTTGAAGACAAAATGTTCTTTTTTTTTTTAAGTGTTCATACTTAGCAAAAGTTTAAGTTGCCAGACTCTATGGGTTCTCCTTTTTTTCTTTAAATAAAAGGGCCTGGGAACTAGTGATTGCCTACTAATCTAATCCAATCCCTCATTTTCACAGACTGGAAAAATGAATCCAAGAGAAGAGGCTTAACTTGTCAAAGAATCAGCTTTATTTGTGAGCTGCACAGACTCTGGGGTCAAAAGACCTGGTTCGAAGCCAGCCCAGCTACTGTGTAGCTGGTAGTTTGCCACAATTAGGAAGTCATCAGATCTGTGAGCCTCAGTTTCCTCATCTACAAAATGGGCTGAGAATCAATTAAAATATTACATGGTTATCACTTTGAAACCATAAAATACTATCAAGTGTTAGCTGTCACCTAATCCTTCAACTTCAAAGCTGGAGCAGAAGCCAAGCCTTCTGACCCATGTCCTGTTATTCCTGTCTTCCTCAGTGTGTTCAAGCAGGACAAGGGTAGGCTGCAGAGTCAGAGACCTGGCTCGGACCCCAGCTCTACTGTTCACAAGCTGTACAACTGTAGGAAGAATAACTCATATCCTCAGTGGTTCTTTATCTGCAAACAGGGGATGATCATAATAAATTCCTGGTTGATAGGATGAACTGAGTTAATATACAGGAAGGGGACTGAGTGGTGCCTATCGCATGGCTGGCTGACAATAAGTGGGTGTTCTCTCCCCTTCCCCTCAATCCTCCAGCTGTCATTCTCTGAATTTCCTCCATGGTGACCAATCTCTTACTTTCTTTGAAGGAAGATTTGATTTTGGAAAGAGCCCAAGGTCCCCGAGAGGCTCATCTGGCCAGGGAGGCAGCCTGTTAGTAATGAAGCCCGGGAAGGAACACCCTTTGGATGTGCAGATGGGCTTCAGCTCTACAGGGGAGGAAGAACTTCTGCAGTGGCTCAGGAGCCAGCTCGGAAGGAGGCCGGTCTCGCTGGGGGGCATGCCGGTCCACCTTGAGGGAAGCAGGTCTGCACCTCCCAAGACAGGTGCCATCAAGTGTGGGCAGCTCCAAGGGGCTGGTTCTGGCCTTGATGACTGCCTCTCAGTTTCGCTGAGCCGGATGTCAGAGCCAGAATGACACATCATCTCGTCCACTCCCTTGTGTTTTTTAAATGAGAGAACTGAAGCCTTTCCTTCCCCCACCTGTCCCCTGATGAACAGAAGGGAAGCTTCAAGTGCTACTCAGAATGTCCACGCTAGAAAGTGACCTTGGGGCTATCCAGCCCAGCCCTCTCCTTCTCCAACCTTCTCTTTCCTGCCCACCCCACTTTACAGATAAGGGAAGCAAGGCCAGAGAGAGAAGAGCCATGGGCCCTATGTAGCGACAGAGCCTCCGAACACCCACGTCTCCTGACCCTTGCGCGGCGTTCTTCCACTGCCCTGGGACACAGCTCTTTATATGAGAAGCAAATGACTGCTCCTTTGGCCTTTCCTGAGAGTGTCCACGGAGCGGGAAGGAGGGCAAGCCCAAAAGGAGATGCCAGAGAGGGGTGGGCCACCAGCTAGGAGAAATTGACCAAAATCAAAGCTGCGGCACTACATGCTGTCTACAGAGGGTCCTGCCAGGGAGCAACTCCTCCGCAGACAGCCCAGCTCCACAGCAGCTATCCCTGCCCCCACGGTGACTGGGCAAGCCCCCCACTCTCTAGCCTTCCACTTCCTCATCTGTGAAAGAGTGGGCGCTACACTGTATACACCCCTGGCCTTCATACCACAACTCCAGGGACTGCAGCCAACATCCCACAGCAGAATCTGGTGGCCAGGGCAGCCAGAGGGCCCTGCATCACTAATCCCCATAGTGCCCATCGGAGGAGCAGCAGGAATCCTCAGTGCAGGCTTTTACCTCAAACTTCCACTTTATTGGGCTTCGGTATCACTTTTGCCCCTCTGTCTCCCCCAGATCTTCCAGCCCCCTTTGGCAGCAGCTGCTGGGAGCTCAGCCTGGGAAAACTGCACCACCTAGGGGCACTCAGCCCCCACTGCAGCCTGGTAGAGGAGGAAGGTGCGATCCAGGGTTCCCCTCTCCTCCCAGAGCTCTCCCAACCCTCCTCTGCCTCGGGGTCCTCACTGTCACCTTGAGAAGGGCGGGCAGAGCAGGGGATTTTGAAGACAGAGAAACTGAAAAGGTGAAGCAGCAATGATGTGTTAGAGTCCAAACCAGAGCTCAGGCCTCCTGATTCCAGCAAGCTTTTTCTACCTCCCATACCAACCTCCAGTCCAAGTGAACATCTGGGTGGAGTGACAGTTGACACGTAAGAGATTAGTAAAGGCCGGGCACGATGGCCTACACCTGTCATCCCAGCACTTTGGGAGGCCAAGGCGGGCAGATCACCTCAGGTCAGGAGTTCGAGACCAACCTGATCAAGATGGTGAAACCCCATCTCTACTAAAAATACAAAAATTAGCCAGGCGTGGTGGCAGGCACCTGTAATCCCAGCTACTCAGGAGGCTGAGGCAGGAGGATCACTTGAGCCCAGGAGGCAGAGGTTGCAGTGAGCGGAGATCGCACCACTGCACTCCAGCCTGGGCGACAGAGCAAGACTCCATCTCTGAGAAAGGCTGGGTGCAGTGGCTCACTCCTGTCATCCCAGCACTTTGGGAGGCTGAGGCAGGAGGATTGCTTGAGGTCAGGAGTTTGAAACCAGTCTGGGCAACATAGTGAGACCTCTGTCTCTATAAAATTTTTTAAATAGTTTTTTAAAAAGAGGCAAGTCTTCAACAATAACTCTTTGGTAGGACAGAGGTCATCTTAAATCACAGAGAGACTTTTTCGTTTGCTTCAATAAGGATTTAGGATGGGACAGGTCTGACAACAGGCAGTGAAGTGGCCTAGTGGAAACACCAGGAGCTTTTTAGGGTTAGGGTTAGGGTTAGGGTTAGGTTTAGGGTTTAGGGTGCCCGACAGACTGGGGACCAAGTCCTGGCTCTATCAAGGACACAGCTGGGCCATCCCTATGTCCCCTCCAGGAACAAGTCCCTGAACTAGCTGCAATGCAGGATTAACTTTCTTACTGGGTTCTTGGGAGGATTATTAACAAATTTTGTGACTCCTGAAACACATGGTTGGTGTCAATAGGTCTGTCCTACATGCCATGGCCGGAACTGTCTCATCTCTTCTCCACTCAGAACCCCCCACAAGCCTCCAAACCCAGGTTAAAAGCCGAAGTCCCCACCATGACCTGCCTTCCTTTACCCCTGCCCCCTCGACAACCTTTCTCCTCCTTCTCCACCCACCAACCTCACTTCCTGCCCTGTCCCCTTCCCACCACCCACCACCCACCACTGGCCTTCTCACTGTTCCTGAACACCCTGGGTGTGGTGTTTGCTGTTCCCTCTGCCTGTAATAACACTTGCATAACCTGCTCCCTCACTGCCTTTGGGTTTTTACTCAAATAGCACCTTCCAAAGGGGTGTTCCCTATCTAAAATTTCAATATCCATCCTCCTCCACATGACTGCTTCTTTCCCCTCAGCCTTTGTGACCATCTCACCTACTACACTGAATGTAATTCACTCATTTATTATCTCCTCCCATTTGATGTGCTCATTGCTGACTTCTTGGCATATAGTGGGAGCTCAGTAAACATTTGTTAAATGTGTGAATGACTATTCAAATAATAATTTTTAAAAGAAAGAAAAAACTCTGACCCCCAATGCCACTTGGAAACTCAGAAGATAGGTAACATGTATGATACTTTTCCATTTACAATATCTTTTCCTGTGAAATAATAAATGTTACCCCAGGACACTGTGAGAAGACAGGGAAGGGATGGCCATGCCCTTCATGGATAAGGAAGTGGAAGCTCTGTGGATCGAAGGACTTCTGCCCGGGTCTTGTCACTGTAAAGGCAAGATCCAGGAGAACCCAGTCTCCAGGCTGAGAGCTGCAGAGCTGTCTTCCCACACTGCAGCTTCCGTGGAGTGGGGGACCTGGAGGTACTTATGCTGAAGCACTTGCTTGAAGTATTGTTCTTTGAATAAGCACAGTATTTAAGTGGCCACCCAGTCAGCTTTTAGAGGGCTATCCCAAGGAACAAGCAGAGCCTTTCTTAACACGCATGAAAGCTGACTGGGCACCAGCTCTTGCCATAGCAAGACCAAGAGACGAATCCAGGGCACAGAATGCCAGACTGATCAAAGCAGCATGGCTAGCCTCCCAGAGCAGAAGCTGCTTCCACCAGAGGAGCCAAGTCACGGAGAAAAGAACAGGGATGCTGAGATTGGATCCCAAATCCATCGGGAAATGGCCTTCCCCCCGGCAGGCCCCATTCCCCAGAGCTCCTCCTGTCTTGCCCAGCTGCAGGATGCTCAGCTCTGTGTGGATATGTTGGCTTGCCCCTCTCCCTAAGCCAGTGCTTCTCGACTAAGAGGAATCTGACAGGGACTATTTGGCAATGTCTGCAGACATCTTTGGTTGTCACAACTATGGGGATGTTACTGGCATCTAGTGGGTAGAGGCCAGAGATGCGGCTACACATCCTACAATGCACAGTGCCCCCAGGAATTATGCAGCCAAAGTGTCAACAGTACTAAGCAGAGAAGCCATGCTCTGGACCATGAGTCCCTGGAGGGGTGAGAAGTGTCAGAGCCTTTTCTACACACCCAGGGCCCAATGTGGCGCCTGTAAAGACACCTGTAAGAGTTTGCTGATGGACACAGGCCAGGTCAGAAGACCTCTTGGTCTGTCCTGACTCTAGGAGTCTATGATTTAAACCCTCTGACTCTACCCTGCAGGCCTCACACTCCTCATTGGCAGGGCTGATGGCCCTGGGGCTGGAGGTCAGGGGCATCTGCAGGAGAAGGGGGTTCCCTGTGGCGCCACATCTCCCTTAGGTTCACAGCCCCCAGCTCTGCCCCCACTCACACCTGTTCTCAGTGGTGATGCTGGGCTTTGGAATGAGACCAACATGAGTTCAAATCTTATCTGTCCGTGCACTCACTCTGTGTGCTCTTGGGAGTCACTTCTCTTCCTCATCTGTAAGCCAGGGGCGTAATCCCTGCTCTACCCCACTGGGACTTTTGTGAATATTCACAAAGTACTGAACCAGCATGAAGAAAATCTTACTACTGGAGGTGACAAGCTGGCAGGTTGCAGTTGGAGAATCCTGAGAGCTTCAGGGGCCCCAGCTGGAGAAGATAACTTCCTGGAGAATCTCTGCTTACCATGGCATCAGTCAAGCTACGGCCAACTGAGATGTCCCAGGAGCAGGAACCCCCACATCCACACCCACAATCAGCAAGAGACCAGCCCCAATGAGGCAATCCAGAAGATGTCTCCCCAAAGGAACCCCAAAGGAACCCCATGTTGCACCGTGGAGAGACAAAGGGAGCCAGCCAGGATTCTCACTTACACCCCTCACCCCCAACCATGTCCTAGCCAGTGTGAGGAGTCCCTAGAGTTGGGACACCTACCACATTCCTGGCAGAGCTTCTGGAGTTGAGGTCCAGGAGTCTGCCCCTCTCACCAACAACCTTTGAACCCTGTTCCAGAGGCCCTGATAGAGGCAAAAACCCTTAGTGAAAGGATGTGCCAAGCAGGGCATTCAAAGTCATGTGTCTCCATCCGATATTCCTATTCCATCTCCTGCCAGTCTCTTCAAATACCTACTGTCCCCTCACCAGGACAATTTGCTGTTCCTAGAATTTTCTGGCACCTCGCACCTCTGTGTCTACACACTACTCTCTTTACCCGGGAATACCTGTCTCCATCTTGTTGGCCATACACATTCCTTCTCACCCAGACCAACT
The DNA here is from genome assembly GCF_000001405.40 of Homo sapiens. Lineage (NCBI taxonomy): Eukaryota > Metazoa > Chordata > Mammalia > Primates > Hominidae > Homo > Homo sapiens. The sequence continues at coordinate 28,764 of NW_009646194.1, read as the reverse complement.
TATATGTTAGGCCAGTGCCTGGGGTCAACAACACTGTTAGGGGTCCACAGAAATATTTTAATTTCTTTTAAAATTAGAGGAAAAAAAAAATTTTAGGTCAAAAAACATGTTTTAATATGTAATATTAGGCTGGGCATGGTGACTCATGACTGTAATCCCAGCACTTTGGGATGCCAAGGCAGGTGGATCACTTGAGGCCAGGAGTTCGAAACCAGCCTGATCAACATGGCAAAACCCTTCTCTACTAAAAATGCAAAAATTAGCCAGGTGTGGTGGTGCACACCTGTAATCCCAGCTACTTGGGAGGCTGAGGCAGGAGAATCCCTTTAACCTCGGAGGCAGAGGTTGCAGTGAGCCAATATTGAGTCACTGCACTCCAGCCTGGGTGACAGAGCAAGACTCTGTCTCAAAAAAAAATGTAATATTGATATATTTTTTCTAAACCAAGGAGGTTGTAAATATACTTTTTAGGGATGTGTGTGTGTGCGTGTCTGTGTGTGTGTGTGTGTGTGTATGTGTAGGAAAGGGTCCACAAAGTTAAAATGATTTAGGATGCAAGAAAATCATAATGTAGCCCTGTCCTCAACCTTCAAACCTTCCACACCCCCAACAAAACTGCCCCTTCTCTGCATCCCCACTATCCATCCATTTATGTGCTCAGCACATGATGTCACAGTCATGTGCAAACCTGTCTTTCCTGTGGATGGTGAGCTCTGTAAGGGAAAGGGCTCTACCTTACATCTTCCCGTCTCCCCTGCACCTAGCTCAGGCTAGCACATGGCAGGGACTCTGCAAAGGCTACTGAATTCAGCTGGTGCTCCTTGGTAAAAATAAGGAACAAAAGCTTTACTTCCTCAGTTCACACAATAACACAATAACGTCCATAGCAGAGCTGTCTCTAATCATGTATTCATTCAAATCTGCCCGTGATATGCCAGGCACTGGCCTAGGCAGCAAGAATCAGTCAGCATTAAGAAAATAAACAAGATCCTTGCCCTCATAGAGCTTCTGTCAGTACCTCTTGCCAGTCTCTACCCCTTATACTCTCCCATCATCTCCCCATCCTGCCCCACAGACATCCTCCCAATGCTGGGGGCAAGGAGAGAAAACACCAAAACACAATCCTGCTTCTCTCACCTGCACCAAACCCTCCGGGGGGGCCCCACCACCTCTCCCAAAGGCACTGCATTCCTCTCTCTGCCTTCCCTGAAGGTGACTACTCCAGCTCCCGCACGCTCATTAATTTCATGCTCCGTCTCCTGTGTGACTGACCTACTTTCTGCTCTTTCCCCACGTGGCTGCCCAGTGTCTCTCCCACACCTGGGGCCGGGCTTCCCTCAGCCGCTCCCTCTTCCCTGCAGCGAGATGTTCCCTCTGAGGCCTTGTCCTCCCTACCCCATTCCTGGAGCAGAGGTTTCCGTGGCCCTGGGGAAGGCAGTAACACAGGCCTTAAGTGGGCTCCCTGACTCTGGATTCAAACCTCAGCTCCCTCCCTCTCAGGTGCAGAGTGCTGAGCAAGCCACTGCCCAGTCTGAGCCTTCACTTCCTCATTTATAAATAAGCCTGCTGTGCAAGGTGGTTGTAAAAAGATACCATTGGGAAAAGGGTAGACATCACAGGTATGGATTCAAAAATATCCCTTGTCCCAATCCCACCCACGGGCCCCTGCCCCAGCCGGAATTCCACAATTTCCGAGGAAGCCTGCCACAGCCCCCTCTGCTCCAGGGGTTCTCCTGTCCTTCCCAGCCAAGCCCCTTTCTTTGCCTACTCTCCTCCTTCAAAGCTGTTCCGTGAAAGGGCCGTATATGAAAAGCAGCCTCAAATACTGAAGGAGCCAAGAAACCAAAGGCGGCAGACAGATTCAGTTTGTCGGTACTGTGAAATTGATTATGGGAACTTATAGACAGAAGCATGGTCTTGGATGGCCACAAGATAGGTGGATCTCCACCCAGCAACCCCCCAGACCCAGAGCTTCTATACCACAGGAAAAGGGTATACGTGCTTCAGCAAGACTATTAAAGGCAGCCCTCTAAAACAGGTGAGATGCTGTATGTGTGATAGCTTATAATTTGTATGATAACATCAAGGTTGACTTTCTTACACAAAGGACAGTAAATAAAACGGGAATCGGGGGCATTCACAGGACTGGAGCTAATCAGAAGTCAACATGGAGGATTAGCATCCAAGATGGAGTCACTTTTGTCTCCACAGAGGCCAAGCACAGGGTGCTCCCTCTGAGCAGCCCTCCCATGTTCACCATGTTCACCCCCCGATCCCCTCACACAGCAGCCTGCGTTTCTTTATACCTCCTACCTCACTCGGGAACAGACTTGAGGCAGGGCTTTTAATTGGTAATCCTCATTTGGCATTCATCACAGAGACTTACATCTGGGTTTTTCTGGGAGAGCCCTAATGTCAAATATCCTGCATCTCGGAATAAAAACAATAGTAGCTAACATTGACTGTGGGCTACTTCAGACAGGCACTTCACCAAGACTTCACATGAACCAGTTTGTTTAATCCTTATGATGATCCTATGAAGTAGGTAATATTATTACTTCTGTTTTTCAGATGAGGAAACAGAGGCACAGAGAGGGGGAAAACTTGCCCAAGGTGCCCAAGGCACACAGGGCCCAACCCCAAACCATTATTGAAGCAGCTGAACTGTTAACTGCTGCTTGTATTCAGAACTGGCTCAAAAATCCATTTGAAAAAAAAAAAATGTGTCCTACACACTATATGTAACTTTCCATATGGCAAATAGGATTGTTGGTCCTCTTCTCTCAGGCAGGAGTTAATGGCAGAGTTGAAGCTTCTAGAACTCTGTGCTCTTTCTAGTACATTGGGCTGGAACCAGGGAGCTCTGGGTTCCATGCACATGGTCTGGAAGGCCAGTGTCTGTGCTAGCTCCCGGCAGGGGTCAGAATGCGTGGCTGCTCTGTGCACTGGGTGTGTGCTGGGAATGCAGGGGCCACAGGGATCATCTGATGAGGGGAAACAAGGACACTGTTTCACGGGATGAGGCAGTACCCCGCTTTGGAAATGCAGTGCAGAGTTGCGGGGACATCAACCAGGACCTGTCCATTCTGCAAATCACATTCGAAAATATGGCCGGGGGGCAGGGACAGGGCAGCCATCAACTGCAATGCAGAGCATGGCTTTCCACCCGCCTGGCAGGCGCCTGAGCTCAAGGAAAAGGGCCTGGACAGTGGTTTGCCTTCCCATGGAGTTATGGGGAAGAAGAGGTGCTGAATCCCTATAACACCCCTTGAGTAAAGGGCTGTAGACAAGACGTTTTGTCCAATAGAGTTCATTTAGTTTTAATAATGCATATTTGTTTTCTGATTATAAAGATAAAACATGCTTATTGTGAACATTAAGAAAAATTTAAAAAGTCATCTGCAATCCCACTATTCAAAAATAAGAGCTAACACTTTGGTCCTTTTCTCTAAGCCATTTTTCAATGCCTATGTATTTTTATATCATCAGGGTTCTAACAGTACCATATATCATGAGTATTTTCCCACTCTGAAAACTGTCCAAACCATGATTTCTAATGATTTTGTAATGTCTGGTCATGTGGGACATCCTATAATACATTTAATCATTCTCTTCTTGTTGAATATTTAGATCACTTTCTATTAACCCCATTTCAAAACTGCAATGGCTGTTAGGGCAAGAAGTTATACTGCCCAGTTACATAAAAATGAAGAAATAAATGAATAGGGTCAGTCCAGATGTTTAAGGGTGTGAACAGCCAGAGAGGGAAGTTTGGATCTGATGCCGTGGTCACCCATGTGGGTGGAAGGTCTTGAGCAGGCCATCAAAATGCTCTTTGAACCCTCCCCCAAGGCAGGTGTTGCAGGGAGAGCCTTGGCTTTGAGAATGCTGGCAGAGGGACACTCCTCCCAAAGACTGGCCTAAGGGACAAAGCTCGGCAGGAACCCTGGGGGAACTTGCCAACCTCGCTTCCCTGGTGGTGCAGGACTGAAAAAGGCACTCGCTCTACTTTTCACAGCATTCAAAAGCAGAACTGTCAAAAGCTGGCCCCCAAATGCTCATATTATGTGGGAGAAAGTCTTGGGGAGAAAATGAGGAAGGAGGGGAATTATGCAATTGAAAACATGTACCAATCCAGACAGAATAATGAAGCACAGACACAAGATTCTGCACTCAATGGAAATTGCATTTAGCCATGTTTTGTGGTTTGAGAAAGAGAGAGACTGACTCAGAGAGACAGATGGAGACACACAGGGTGAGGAGAAAGAGAGGGGAAAAACGGAAAGAGACAGATGCAAACAGAGAGTCCGCAGCAGCCAGATGGAGTCCCACCGAGGAGAAGATTGGGAGCAGAGAGGCTTGGGGCAAATGGCTTTGTCTTCTCCCTGTCTTTCTCTCCTGTCTTTGCACCTGGGTCTTCAAAGTGTCAGCCCAGGGCCTAAGCCACTTCGGACATGAGCAAGAAGGAAACCAGGAGACTTCCCTCCTCCTAACTGGAGGTTTGAGTTTGTTTTGATTTTTTTCTATTTTTAAAAAATATTCTCTGTGTTTCCAAGTGTTCAAAAAACAGATCACCCATGGAATACTACTTAACAATAAAAAAGAATGAACTATGGATACACAGGACACCTTGGATGGATCTCAAGGGCATTACGCTGAGTGAAAAACATCAGTCTCAAAAGGTTACATACAGTATGAGTCCATGTATATGACATTCTAGGAATGACAGAATTGTAGAAATGGGGAGCAGATTAGTGGTTGCCAGGGGTTAGGGATGGTGAGAGGGAAGGGGGTGGCTATGATTAAAAAGGGTAACATGAAGAAAACCTTTGTGGTGATGGAACAGTTCTATATCTTGATTGCAGTGTGGTTACATGAATCTATCCATGGGATAAAATGACAATGAACTATACACACACAAGTTACCAATGTCACTTTCCTGATTTTGATATGGTACCATTGGGGGAAACTGAGTGAATGTCATGGGACCTCTCTGTATACCATTTTTGCAACCTCTTGTGAACTTATAATAATTTTAAACTAAAAGTCACCCCCCAAAAAAGTTACAAAAAATAGATCGTGTACTTTTCTTATAGTCAAAAAGTTATGCTAAAATGTTAAGTACCACACAGATGAAAGCTAAAATAGTTATGACAAAATATCATAATTTAAGGGTTATAATCCATATAGAAAGTCTTAAGCAAAAATCCACCCTGTTCAGAAGGCTGAACAGGAACCAACTGGAGGATTTGGAGAGTGTGATTGAGAGGGAAGTGCACTCTGCTTCTTCCTGGCTGTGTGACTTTGGGTGGGTCACCTCACCTCTCCGGGCCCAAATTCCTCATCTGTACAATGAGTTGCTGTGCAGATGAAAGGAGACAGCCCTTGTGAAGCACACAACATTCAATAGATGTGAAGTCCCTTCCTTCCTCGAGCCAGCCAAGGGCTGTGACAGGTGCACTGGCCTGGGAGGGCCCTGCCTTCACCTGCTGGGACCAGGAAGGAAGGTTGGTGCTGAAAGGCCCTTAGAATCCCATATATGCCACCAAGCATGCTATAAAAGTTTTTCAGCCCCACAACAGTTGGAAACAAATACCCATTTTTCCCTGAGAAGGTTTTTCTAGAATTATATTTATCTTTAAGAATAATTTTTAAGGCCATCACAAATGTGGTGGCAGTGAGAGAAAAATCGTATGGCTTCAAAACAGAAACAGACAAAAACAGTAATTCCATTAGTATTTTTAAATGGTAAAAGATGAAGATAAATCTTTCTGCTATGGTAACTGTAAAACACGAGAGATAAGTCAGGTTTTGAAGGGCAGTGATGCTGGCAGCTGAGGGTCACCTGTTCAGAACAGGCCATATCGGTGGGTGCACACGCAGGGGTGGCCTGAGGAGGTTTGGGGGAGCAGTGGAGAAGCCCTGCATTGCATGAATGAACTTGCAGGCTGAGAGCCACTAGGTTTGAGTGGCTGATTCACAGATGAGACCCAAAAAAAGAACGATGTGCCTCAAGTCCTCAGGGCCTGCATGTGGCAGCTCAGGCCCTGCTTCTGGAAATACATCAGCTTAGGGAGTGAGGCTGGTTTTCAGAGGAGCAATGTCTCCTCTTAGAACTGTGACAGCGTTTCAATGACACTTTTCAGTGTACAAAATGCTTCTAGAGAGCTATTTCCTTGGCTTCTCCCTCCTACTTTAAGACTCCCTCCATCCAGGCCCTGCCTAGTGCCCAGTGGAAGGTCAGCCGTCGGCCGCTTCAGCTCCTCGGTGACAGCAGCCCACTCCTTGTTGGACAGCTCCTGTTGTCAGAAAGCTCTCCTCACCAGCCAGTTGTGATGTCTCTGACCCAGACAATCAGCCCCACACACAGCCTGTCACTCCGCGATTTGAATTCCATGCCTGTACATTTTAAAGATGAAAACATCTTTATGAGTCCCTTGTTGAAATGCAAATATGGCTGTGAACACCTAAAGCCCCACGTCAGGGAAGACCTTTGAGATGGAGTGTTGGCAGGAAGCCCTGTGATGGAGACTAGAGGCCAAGAGGTCTAAAGACACTTTTTACAGGGGGCTCTTTGTATCCTCCAGGGCCTGAGTCACCTTGGGGAATAAAAGAGAAGGATCCATAAAGGCAGATTCCTTTCCTTCTTGTATCTGCAAGCCTGGATGCTGGGGGAAAAAAAAAATCCTATCTGCAGTCAGAGAGTGTCTTCCCTGGGGAGATTCAAGGGTCCAGAAACTTCAGATCAAGATGGTGCTGTAAATTCATGCACCAAACTCACAGCAATTATATAAAAAGATAGATTCAAAACAGGAATAGCCATGCTCAAAATCAGAATCAACATTTTTGTGGATCAGAATTTCAATAGAAACACAAGGGGCTACATAATGTGGAAGCCAGGGGTCTGGCACCAGAAGCAGGGGAAGCAGCCAGGAGTTTGACTCCCTCACTGCCTGAGGGGCTAAATGAGACCCTTGTGAGGCCAGGGCCAAATCTCATGATGCTGGTTCAGTGACTGGACATGTGAAATTCCCACCACCATTACAGGATGAAAGCCTTGAGTCAGCAGCCTAAAACCTGGCTCTAGACAGGGTCCCAGGAGTGTGGGGAGAAGCTATCAACCCACTAAGCAGAGTGAGTATGTACAGAAAAATAAATCCCACTTTAAAAAAGCCTGCAAACTAAAATTCCAAAACACATGACGAAAATGAATGCAGATGTAGACAGTCAACAAAACTAATAATTGGCAGAATGAATCCACTACAGACAAAAGTGAAATAATAGAATTATCTGAAAACAATTTCAAAATAAATATGTTTAGACTCTTCAAATAAAGTCAGGAATAACATCCATACATACAAAAGAATAATAAATTATAAATTAAAAACAAGCAGAAACTAAATAAAGCCATTTAGAAACACTGGGAATGAGAAACATAGTTGTTGAACTAAACTGGAGAGAAAGAATAAATCTAGATTAGACATGGTAGAAGATAGGATTAATTATTTGGAAGCAAATGAATTGTGCATTTCACCTACGTTGCAACAAGAGATAAATGATAGGAAAGAGCATTGTAGAAGTTAGAGGAGGTTGGAATACAGCAGACAAGTTGCAGACACTGTTAATGCCCAGCCCACATTCCCTTGGCTGACCCCAGCAGTCACCTGAAGATGGGCTCTGTACACGAAGACAGCTTCCTACATCTCTGCCTAAGTGTTTCTGGCCACAGGAGCATGCTCAAGCTTGCACAAGGACAGGTGGACTCCTGGGGGAGTTAGTTCCAACAAAGACCCTCAACCAAGAGGGGCATTATTAGTTCATGATAAATACTCCAGCTTCCTTTCCCATTGGTAGGACAACTATGTGGTCTGTTTCACATAGTCTCCCACAGGCCCCACACCAGGGCTGAGCCTCCGTTGGCCACCAGCAGCAAACTGCTCATGTTCAAATCTTTTACTGGCTTTTCTCCTTTCCTTGCCTCACATCTCCACTTCTTCACTGCACTTCCCAAATTAACTACTAGCATCCAAATCCTTCTCTTGGGTCCTGCTTTTGGGATACCCAAACTAAGACAGCAAAATAACCATGGCTCAAGCAAAATACAAGTCCATTTCTCTCTCATGGAATGGTCCAGCACTAGGAAGTTTAAAGCTAAGAGGGCAGTTTCGGCCGGGCGCAGTGGCTCACGGCTATAATCCCAGCACTTTGGGAGGCAGAGGTGGGCGGATCACAAGGTCAGGAGATTGAGACCATCCTGGTTAACACGGTTCACCCTGTCTCTACTAAAAAAAAAAAAATACAAAAAATTAGCCGGGCGCGGTGGCGGGCCCCTGTAATCCCAGCTACTTGGGAGGCTGAGGCAGGAGAATGGTGTGAACCCAGGAGGCGGAGCCTGCAGTGAGCCGAGACGGCACCACTGCACTCCAGCCTTGGGGACAGAGTGAGACTCCGTCTCAAAAAAAAAAAAAAAAAAAAAAGCTAAGAGGGCAGTCTCATAAAAGCCATCAAAACCCAGGCTCCTTCTATCTGACTTCTACCCTATAGTCCAAGATGGCTGCACCAACTCCAGCCACCTCGTGTATTTTTCAGATAGCAGGAAGAAGGCACAAAGAATAGCACACTCCCCTGCTTAAAAGACATTACAAGGAGGTTCCACAAGACTCCTGCTTATACTCATTGTTCAGAACTCAGTTATATGCCCGAATGTAGCTAAGTGGAAGACTCAGAAATTTTTTTTTTTTTTGAGACAGAGTTTTACTCTTGTTGCCCAGGCAGGAGTGCAGTGACGCAGTCTCAGCTCACTGCAACCTCCGCTTCCTGGGTTCAAGTGATTCTCCTGCCTCAGCCTCCCAAGTAGCTGGGATTACAGGCACCCACCACCACACCCAGCTAATTTTTGTATTTTTAGTAGAGAGGGGGTTTCACCATGTTGGCCAGGCTGGTTTCAAACTCCTAACCTCAGATGATCTGCCCACCTCAGCCTCCCAAAGTGCTGGGATTACAGGCATGAGCCACCACGCCCAGCCAAGAAATGTCATTTTTAACCCAAGTAGGCATGTGCCTAGCTGAAAGTTAGAGATTCTATTACTAAGGAAAAAGTGGAATAGACACTGGGAGACAACTGGCATTCTATAGAATGCCAAGCAGTTACGAAACACAGAGTAGAGACTGACAGACTGTTATGTAGGAGTTCCAGAACAGAGGGAGTGCAGGAGAAGCAAGATTACAGAAATAAGGACTGAGAATTGTCCAGAATGAGAGAAAGACATTGCTTAGATTCAAAATGCGCACTCAGTGCTGAACAGAACAAATAAATTTACACCTAGACCCAGTGTAGTGAGACGATAGCACATCAAGAATAAAGAGAAAACATCAAGGCTATTGCAGTAAAAAAAGGCATTACATGTAGAGGAAAAGTAATTACTCATTTATCAACCAGCAAATATGTATTAAGTGCTTTCTTTGAGTCAGGTCTGTTCTAGGGATGGCCATCCAGTCCTGACCTAGACAAATAAGTTTAAATGTCTATCATTTATTATTAAATAGAGATTGAGGCCCTTAGAGAAAAAATACAGCAGAGCAAGGAATAAAAGTGATGGAGGGTGGGAGTGGGTAGGATGTCTTAGGGAAGATGCTCAGGGGAGGCCTCTCTGTAACATTTGAGCTGAGACCTGAATGAAGTGACGCAGCAAGTTATGCACATTTTTGGGGAAGAGCATCCCAAACAGAGGAAAGCAAGTGCCAAGGCCCCGAGGTGGAAATGTACTTGTTATGTTCAAGAAACAGCAAGAAGGCCAGTGATCCAGCAGAGTGAACAGGGGTAGCAGAATAAGCGGGTTGTCTGGAGAAGGCGTCTGAGGCCAGATCTTATGTGTGGAGCCTTGGTGCAGCAGTGCGTTGGTGTCAACTCAGACTGGCTCTGTCTCGATTCTTTACATCCCTTCTCAACTCTGAGCTCAGTGATGTTACCTTGGAAGCTTGAAATTGGCCATGGAGGGAGAATATGCACCACAATTAGCAAATGCTACATATCAGGGCTCTCTGCCTCTGAGAACTGGTTGTTACCAGCACAGCACCGCTCATAGCTGTGGTGAGAAATTCAGACATTGTTCAAATTGGAATCAGAAGCATTGGAGTGTTTTGAACGGCAAAAAGGCAGAATACTGCCACTTGGTTTCCTTCTCACAAGATCACTGTAGAGAACAGAGCCTAGGGTGCAAGAATGGAAGCAGGGAAATGGATTAGGAGGTTGTTGGAGTGGACTGGGTGAAAAAGGAATGGGGACAGTCTAGGAAGGCCATGAGGAGGAGGCAGTTTTAATCTGGTCTTCTATTTTCTGGTACGATCTCCCTTACATCCTGTTTAGCCTCTGTTGATAGACTGATTCCACTGGCTGGGAGGAGCATATTTTCCTGGAAAGAGCATGGGATTTAGAATCAGTGGGCCTGGATCTACTTCTCAATAGTATCCCTTGAGGAAATTATTTAACATCTTTTGAGTCACAGTGTCCTGTGTGTAAAACTGAATACCTGAAAAGGTGGCTGTGAAGACTAAATGAGATAAGGAGTGTAAAATTCCCATTTATCCTTTGGTGGGGCAGAGCGCCCTCATCCTCAGCCCACCAGGGTCCCTCATGTAGACTTCATGCCTAGAAGCAAAAAGAATGAAACTGCCAGGATCAGATTCCCCGGGGCTGGTCGCCGGTCTCTGCCTGTTCCCAGGTGGGCCACCAGCGCCACCTCGTGTCCAGTCTGGGTTCTTGCAGGCCAGCCTTTCCCTGGATGATTTCTTGATCCTGAATCACCTCCATTGCCAGATGGAGCCAACAGTGCATGAAGTGTCCTAACATTCATCGTCTGACCTGCCAACAAAGCATGCTCTCTGCTCTCCTCTGATCCTCCTCTGCATGTCAGTCTCACCTCCACATCCAGATTGTAGAGGGCACACGGCCTGTGTCTTCAGCGTCCATTCCTTTTACTTGAGTAATTACTTTGTGCCACTCATTCTGACATAATCCTTAAGGCAATTATATCCTTATTCCTTTTCTGGAGAAACTGAGGCCAAGACATAGAAAGTGACTTGCTTAAGGTCACTGGGCAAGCAATTGAGGTAAGATTTGATTCCAGGACTTCTCAATGTAAACCCAAGGTTTTTTTCCACAAAAACATCCAGCACAATGTGGGTACCCAGAAGATGCTCAGTGGATCATTTCATTTTTTAGGCTTTTTAAAAGAAGTGAGCAAAAATAACTGAACAGGAGCCAGGGGACCCACCCTCAGGACTCAGATTCAAGCTCTGTCTTTTACAACTTGCTGAATAACCTTGGCTGGATCTGGGTCACTCTGTGGCCTTCAGTACCGCATGAGGAAAGGAAAGGGATTAGACTAGGTGATCCCAAAGTTTCCCTCAGGTCCTGATGTTCAACAATTGCAAAGTTGAGGAGAGGGCTCTAGAAAGGGGTTAAGATTGTGGGCTCTGAGGCCACTGCTTGGGTGAGTCCAGGCTTCACAATAGCTATGAGGCCTTCAGCAAGTTATTTATCTCAGCCTCCGTTTCCTTGTCTGGAAAATGAGGATGATGAGAGTAATCATCTGTACCTCATAGTGTTGCTCAGTTATCTACTAGACCCTCTTAAAACTGTGCTTGGTACATGGTAGGTAATACATTTGTGTTCATTTTTCAAAAATATTGATTCTGGCTGGGCGTGGTGGCTCACTCCTGTAATCCCAGCACTTTGGGAGGCCAAAGAGGACAGATAACTTGAGGTCAAGAGTTCAAGACCAGCCTGATCAATATGGTGAAACCCCGCCCCTACTAAAAATACAAAAATTAACTGGGTGTGGTGGCACGCACCTGTGGTCCCAGCTACTTGGGAGGCTGAGGCATGAGCTCACTTGAACCCAGGAGGCGGAGGTTGCACTGAGCTGAGATCACACCACTGCACTCCAGCCTGGGTGACAGAGTGAGACTCTGTCTCAAAAAATAAATAAACAAATAAATAAATAAAAATAAAAATTCTACCTGCTACCTAATTCTATTTGTTTCAGGTAACATAAAAGTCTTGTGCATTACAAGGTTGGCCACTGGTTAATTCCTGCAAGCTCCTGGACAGTCATGCATCTAGCCACAGATAAGGTCATGTGTTTGATTCCACATAGTATCATCTGGATTACAACATAAATAAAACCTGAAAGTCTTAAGCCAAAATGAGGATCAAAGACCATTGTGTTCTCCTAAATTCCATCATTCAAGATATCCTGGAAATTTCTAAGACTTGGATCCTAAACCAGGCCACTCTGAGCCTCAGTTTTCTCACTTGCAAAACTGGGAATTGGACTGGCTATTTATGAAAGCTGCTATTATGGGCCCGGCACTGTGATAAGCTTTCACACAGCGAAATCAGAGTATAGTGTGCACTGACAAAGGGACAAGGGACCCCTGCCCTCTGATTTGGGTCACTGTACTTCAGGAACTGAGGTTGGGCAGTGGAATGGTGCATCCTCTCTATCCTGTTCCTTGGGATATCTTCCTAAACGGGTAAGTGGGGAGCCTGGAGACCTTGCTAGGTGATGGGACAAATCCCTTCTCCTCTGAGAATCACAGGCCTCTAGGGCAGCCCAGCCCAGCCCAGCCCAGCAGGACTTTCTAGGGTGATGGAGGTATTCAATATCTGTGCTGTCCAATATTGCAGCCACTAGTCACCAGTAGCTTCTGAGCACTGGAAACATGGCTAGTGCAATTGAGGAACAGAATTTTAAATGTATTTACTTTTAGTTAATTTAAATTTACATAGACCGTTGTGGCTACTGGCTATTCTATCGGATAGAGCAGCTCTGAGATATTTGGCTTTGAGAGCATCCTCCTGGAGAGATGAGGTAATTGAGACACAATTGGACTGAGTGGTTTGCTTAAAGGTTTTCAGTGACTCTGTGACAGAATTGAAACCAGAACCTAGGTCCTTCTTATTCCATAACAGGCCTTTTTCCTCACATCACTGCTAGATGTGGAGACATCTAACATTGCTCTACAATAGCACCACACTTTTCTACAGGTAAGTAGTTAACCTTGACTGCAATGCTCTTCCTACCCACAACCATGCTCTTTCTGCTGGGTAAACTCCTACCCATCCTCAAGACCCAATTCAAACATCATGACCTTCTCCCCATTCCTGGCAGTTCCTTGCTCCCTTCCTGTCCTCCTGCAGCATTTTGTCTGGTTAGCTGTCGGAGCACTTACAATGTAATTGTCAATTTATTTATCTCCCCAACTTGACTAGAATTCCCTAAAAGCACAGATGGTTTTTTATTCTTCCTATCTCCAGAACGCAGCACAGGAGTCTGGTCAACAAACGTGTGGAATCAACATACTAAATATACTACAATGTACAGACTCCAAATAAAAGCAGACCTATCCCAGAAGATAAGGGAAGTGTACCAACCAATCAGAATGCCTGGGTTCTGTTTATCATCATGCTAAATTGCTGTGTGACTATGGGTATATTGTGTCCCCTCTTTGGACCTGAGGGGGTTGGACTGTGCCATTTCTAAGTAGGGCAAGCCCCAGCCCCTCTACACTAATGACCCCAAGGGAGTCCTGGCTCAGCAATTTGGGCAGGATGAGATGGAGCCTCTGGGGGAGGTTACTGGGTATGGTGGTGGGCGATGGCCAGCACACTGTGGCCGGCACAGAAGCAGCTGCTTGCTGGACTCAGAGCTGCCAGACATGCAGCTATGTCAGCAGCAAATTCCTAGGCCACTGGGCCGGGAGAGTCCAGGGCCCCCAGAAACAGTAGAGGAAGGACTGAAAGAGCAGCTCAGAGGCCGGGCGTGGTGGCTCATGTCTGTAATCCCAGCACTTTGGGAGGCCGAGGCAGGTGGATTGCCTGAGATCAAGAGTTCGAGACCAGCCTGGCTAACATGGTGAAACCCTGTCTCTACTAAAAATACAAAAAATTAGCCAGGCGTGGGGGCACACACCTGTAGTCCCAGCTACTCGGGAGGCTGAGGGAGGAGAATCACTTGAACCCGGGAGGCGGAGGTTGCAGTGAGCCGAGATTGCACCACTGCACTCCAGCCTGGGCAACAGAGCGAGACTCCGTCTCAAAAAAAAAAAAAAAAAAGCAGCTCAGATAGGAACCAAGGGAGGAAGGGAAAAGCAAGGAACCAGCACATCAGAAAGAAGAAAAAGACAGAAAAACACAACAAAGGTAGTTATAGCACTCCCACAAACATGGTGAACGTTCCTAAAACTCACCAGACTTTCTATAAGAATTGTAGCAAGCACCAACCCCACAAAGTGACACAATATAAGAAGGGCAAGGGTCTTCTGTATGCCCGGGGAAGGCAGCATTATGACAGGAAGCAGTATGGCTACTAGGCCAACTTTTCAGGGAAAAGACTGAAATTACAAAGAACATTGTGCAGAGGCTTGGGTGTTTTGAGCCCAACTGCAGATCTAAGAGAATGCTGGCAGGCTATTAGGAGATGCAGGCCTTTTCAACTGGGAGGATGTCAGAAGAGAAAGGGCCAAGTGATCCAGTTCTAAGCTTCATCTTTTATTATGAAGACAATACACCCTTGAGGTTATGTTCACTTCATTTGGTTGTAGCTGGTCTTTTAGGAGGGAATAGACTAAAGCCATCAACAAAATTCCCCTTTTGGGGAAATTTATGCTTTGTGGTTCTTCTGGGAACTAAGGAAAAAAAGAGAAAAACACAACAAAATAGTGACTGGAAAATCCACTTCTGGTTAGACTCCCATTCATTCGTGCATTTTACTCATGCATTCAACAAATATTTATTCACAGATTTCCTGAGTTCAGGGGCTCTTAGGTCGTTGGAAGCAGAAACTGAGGGCCGAGGTGGGGAATGACTTGTACAGGTCACATGAGTTACTGCCCGCCTTCTCACCTATGCCAAACCACAGTGCCAGTGGAAAGTCAGCCTTGTGTAGCCAGTGTGCCTGGCCGGCGGGCCCACACTCACCTTCAGTTGTCAAGGCCTTGGGAAGGGCCAAGAAATGGCACTCTCTTCCAGAGAACAAAAGAGGGCTTAGGGCCTTCTGTGGCCTCCTTAGGGACTCATTCCTCATGGAGTGGCTTAATAGAGTGAGCCCTGGACTTGGAGCTGGACAGTTCTGGATTCAAGTCCCCAGAGACTTCCTTTTTCTTCCAGTTGGATGAATTTGGAAAGTCATCTCTCAGAGTCAGCTTCCTCATCCATAAAATGGAGATAACAATCCCTCACAGAGTTGCTGTGAGGTTTAAATGAGATAATATGTGTGACTGTGGTAAAAGTCATCAGTAAAGGTTTTGCAAATGAATAAGACAAGAAAGAAAACAGCAGCCCCATCAGCATCAGCAGTGTCCTGGCTTGGCACTCACAGCAAGGCCCTGGCATTCTCCTGCTGAACATAAGCATGTTCCCAGAACACTGACACCAGGCAAAGCCTCTATAATCATAAGACAGGCAGCAAGACCAAAAAAAGATCACTCCACACCATGTCTGAATACAGAGAAAAACCTGGCCAGGCGTGGTGGCTCACGTATGTAATCCCAGCACTTTGGGAAGCCGAAGTAGGGGGATCACTTGAGGTCAGGAGTTCAAGAACAGCCTGGCCAACATGGTGAAACCCCATCTCTACTAAAAATACAAAAATTAGCCGGGTGTGGTGGTGGATGCCTATAATCCCAGTTATTTGGGAGGCTGAGGCAGGAGAATCACTTGAACCCAGGAGGCAGAGATTGCAGTGAGCTAAGATTGTGCCACTGCACTCCACCCTGGGCGACAGAGCGAGACTCCATCTCAAAACAAAACAAAACAACAACAACAACAACAACCGAAAAAAAAAGAACACTGCAAAATCGTTAAAACTACCAAACAGCCCCCTCTCCTGGTCAACATGAGTGTGGTGATTTCTTTACCAATGACAGCCTTAGCCACATTCCATTCGTCCCCCTCTTAGATAAAAATAATTAAAATGCCTAATCACTGAATTGCCACTGCTCCCTGACAGCACCTGGCCCAGAGAAAAACTCTCCTGGTACTCTCTTTCTGAGCTGCCCCATGGTCTCCAAGGTGTGTTATGTCCTTTGTGCAGCATGTAGTAATACCAACTTTGACTACGGGTGTGTTCCTGGTGGTCTTTTGCTATGGAGCATTGATAAAGATTTAAATAGTGGAAGTTCAGAGTCTATGACAGACCAGTGGGAGAATATATGTACACATATCTGTGTGTGTGTGTGTGTGTATACACATATAATTTTTTGCCTGAAGGACCTTTACCTCAAATTGCACAGTGATGGGTGACCTACTACTCTGCTTATGAATGAAATTGGCCCACTGGTCTAACCAGGCTCTGGCAGAATTTGGGAAATAAATGTCATGGGCAGGGGAAGAAATGGTCACAAGAAGAAAGATTAATGTTTACAGAAACCTTACCACATGCCAGACTTTGTCTCATTTAATTCTTGTAACCACTCTATGGGGTAGGTACAGTAGTATTTTCCCAGTTTATAGATAGGGAAACAGGCTCTCAGAAATTTAGTAAGCATCTGGTTCAAGATTTGAGGCAGGACCAACTCCAAGGCCCCTCCTCTGTTCACCCGGTTGTGGGCTCCTCCACCCTCTCCAAGAAGGGAGGAGGAAGCAGAGCTGACCCACTCTGCCTCCTCATCCCTGAGTGCCCTGGCAACCTGACCACCTCCTTTGGCCACATGGCCCCTGAGCTAAGGCCTAAAATTAGTCTCGAGTCACAGATCAGAACCTTCATGAATTCTCATTTTATAAGTGGGAAAACTGAGGCCCAGGGAGGTAAGTCCTCTCCTCTCCTATTCAGCCTCCCTCCAATGATTGCTGGAGCTGACTCCTACTGACCTGCAAAGGCCAATGATGTGCATCTCTTCCCAATTCAGTCTTAACAAGCTACTGTTGGTAGCTTGCTATCAGCCACGGTGAGAGTATTTACACCATGGGTATTGGCAAATGCTGCAAATCAGGGATTTTTTTTCTTTTCCACCAGAGATCCAGTTATTAAACATTTGCCAACACATCACTGGCCTCTCCCTCCCATAAGGAAAAGGAATTATAAACATTAGTGGGGATGTTTGGGAACAACCCACATCAGAGTCTAGGCAAACTATCTCAACCTAGCTTGGCTGTGATTTTGTCACAAGTAGCCATGTGCTCTGTGATTGACTTGTGTCAGAATAATCTGAGGGTATAATTGAAAATGTCTCCTGGGCCCCACTGAATCGGAATCTCTGGAGGGAGGACCCTAGAATCTGCATTTTAACAGTTATCTTCAGATGATTCTTTTGGTTCCTGAGTTTGAGTATCTCTGCTCTGTATTCTCATTGCCATATCAAATGACACCTAGTCACAGAGGGCAAAGTTTAGACCCTCAAAAAAAATGTAATTCAGCCTCTATATTTCTTGAATGCCTGCCGTGTGCTCACTGAGAGTGAATGAAGACAGGCCCAGGTCTACTTATATCTTCTTTCCCCTGTCTCTGGGGTGATGGTGGAGAGCTCATTGGCATCTAGACATTGGAATCAGACAGAGTTCCACCCACATCACCTTCCAGAGAGCACTAGGTGAGTTTGCCTGCTAGAAGTTCCAGTAGAATCTGTTAACACAAAGGAAATATATAGTCAATTTTAATTATCCAACTAAGTTGAAATCAGAAGAACTGGGTTAGAATCCTGGATCTGACCCACACTAAGTGGACTTGCCTCTAAGGCAAGTTCCTTAACCTCTCTAGAGCTCAGCTCCCTTCTCTGTAAAAGGCATCTACCTTAGAGGTTTATAAGAATCTAATGCAATAACCCTGGGGAAACAAACTGATTTCTACAGTGCAGGACACACATTGATTTCCTCAGCTAGCTCACCCTTGCAGGTGAGCCTTCCACAGCTCAAGCATCATGGGGCTGTTTTCCTCTTCAGACTGTGAGCACCTCAGAGATACCCTGGACTTACCTATCTCTGTATGTGCTCAGCACATATTAAGTACTTCCTAAAGGCCTGTGATTGAATATGAATTGTATTAGTCAGGGTTCTCCAGAGAACGGAACCAACAGAAGATGATAGATAGATAGATAGATAGAGAGATAGATAGATAGATAGATAGATAGATGATAGATAGATGATAGGTAGATAGATAGATAGATAGATAGATAGATAGATAGATAGATAGATAATTTGTTATAAGGTTTTTGCTCACATGATTATGGAGGCTGAAAAGTTCCAAAATCTGCTGTCTGCCAGGTAAGAGACCCAGGAAAGCCCAAAGTATAGTCCAAAGCCTGATAGTCAGAGAGCCGGTGGTGTAGATTTCAGCTCAGGTCTGAAGGCCTAAGAACCAAAGCACCAAGCGCAAGAGATCAATGTCCCAACTCAAGCAGTCAGGCAAAGAGCAAAATCAACCTTCATCTGCCTTTTTTGCTCTATTCAGGCCCTCAAGGATTGGATGACATTGAGGGCCATCTGCTTCACTCAGTCCACCAATCCAAATGCTAATCTCTGCTAGTCAGACATATCCAGAAATAATGTTTAATTAACTATAAGGGCATCCTTTAGCCCAGTCAAGTTGATAGATAAAATTTACTGTCACAAGATCTATGTGTAGATACAGACAGGTAAAGCTACCCACACACAGATACTATTATGGGATTATTCCCCCAGTGGTGGCATGGAGTTGTAAATAGAGCACAGGGATTGGGGTCAGGAGTTTCAAGTATTAGGGTGGGGAACAGTATGTATTGTATAATAAATTACCACAAACACAGAGGCTGAAAACAACACATGCTAAGTATCTAACAGGTTCTATGGGTCAGGATCTGAGACTGGCTCAGCTAAGTCTTCTTCCTATGGTCTCACAAGACTTCAGTCAAGGTGTTTCCCAGGGCCAGAACCTTGTCTGAGGCTTGGCTGGGAAAGGATCTGCTTCCATGCTCACTCAGGTTATTGGCAGAATTCAATTCCTTATGGTGGTAGGCTTGAGAGCTTCAGTTTGTTGTTGGCTGCCAGTCAGGGTCCACCCTCAGCTCCTAGAGATGCTGCAGTTCCTTGCCGTGTGGCCTCCCAACATCCGCAGGCTGCCACATGCCAGCTTGCTTCTTCAAAACCAATGGAGAGGCATAGGGAGACTCAGCAAGACAAGTGCCACGCTTTCTTTTTTTTTTTTTTTCGAGACGGAGTCTCACTCTGTCCCCCAGGCTGGAGTGCAGTGGCGCCATCTCGGCTCACTGCAAGCTCCACCTCCCGGGTTCTCGCCATTCTCCTGCCTCAGCCTCCCAAGTAGCTGGGACTACAGGCGCCTGCCATCACGCCTGGCTAATTTTTTGTATTTTTTAGTAGAGACAGGGTTTCACCGTGTTAGCTAGGTTGTTCTCAATCTCCTGACCTCCTGATCCGCCCACCTTGGCCCCCCAAAGTGCTGGGATTACATGCTTGAGCCACCGTGCCCGGCCCCACACTGTCACATAATATACCCATGTCATCGCTGACATGGCACCATCTATCCCACCTATCTCATCACCTTTGCTGCATTCTACCAGTGAGAAGCAAGTCACAGCACCACTGCAGCCACCCACCCCCACCACTCAAACAGAAGGAATTACAGAAAGCCATGACATCAGCAGGTGGGATGGTGAGCAACTTCCCCAAGAGTCTGTCTGCCACAGGAACTGAGAGGAACCTCGTGAAAGATTTTCCTTGTGCGGCTGGTAGACACAGACTTGTGGGATAACAGAGCTCTGAGGAATCATGTCTCACCATTTCACATTACCTAGAAGAAAACAGAAACCCAGACAGCAAAGTCAGACTAGAATCCAGACCTTCTGACTTCCAGTTTCCAACATACTCTACTGGTTCCATTTCTACTTATTGTCAGGACTCTGAAGCCACAAGCTGGAAAGTTAGATGGCACTTTGAAGTTGTAGCTCAGTGGGTATTGGAATGTCTTAGAATACCTTCAGAATAAATTCAAATCCTTAGCATGACATTCAAGGCCCTTTGACTACCTGGCCCAACCAATTTTTTTTTTTTTTTTTTGGTCTCACCTCTTGCCATTCTCCCCTGTTATGATGGCGCCATGTCAGCGATGACATGGGTACATTACGTGAAAGTGTGGCATATGTCAACAGAGAACTATTTGGTGCTTCCTGGTGGTGCCTCCCTCCCTTTACATATTCTCCACCAGGAATGCCCCTCATTTTCTATGCCTAGAAAATAAACAAAGCGGGGAGTGGCCAAGATGGCCAACTAGAAGCAGCTAGTATGAGTGGCTCTCAAAGAGAGGTACAGAAGGGGCGAGTAAATACAACACCTTCAACTGAAACATTCAGGTACTTGCATTGGGATTAATCAAGGAAACAACTTGACCCACAGAGAACGAAGAAAAGCAAGACAGGACAATGGCCCACCTGGGAGCAACACAGAGCCCAGGGATCCTCCCTCGCCCAGGAAAGCTGTGAGTGAATGAGTGATCCCAGGAAACCATGCTTCTCCCATAGATATTTGCAACCCTCGGGTCAGGAGATATCCTTATGAACCCACACTACTAGGGCCTTCAGTCTTCTGTCTGACAAAGCTATGTGGAGTCTTGGCAGAGCAGCTGCTCAGGCATGCATAGAAACCCTGGAACCTTAAGATACTTGGGGTTTCCAGCAAAAGTAGCTGCAGCTCCAGCAAAGTGGGAGGTTAAACTCCTGTACGTACCCCTAGGAAGGAGACTGAATCCAGGGGGCTGAGCAGAAACAGCCTGCAGGCCCCACTTCCATGGCACCTCACAAGATAAGACCCACTGGCTTGGAATTCCAGCAAGCTACCAACAGTGGCATTGCATCTCCCTAAGAAGGAGCTCCCCGTGGGAGGGGTGGGCCGCCATCTTTGCTGTTCAGGCATCTTAGCCATTCCAGCCTTTAGGCTTTGGAGAGTCTGAGCCAACCTGGGGTGGAAGAGATCCCCCAGTACAGCACAGCAGCTCTACCAAAGTGTAGCCCGACTGTTGCTTTAAGCAGGTACCCCATCCCATTCCTCCTCAGTGGGTAGGACCTTCCTACTGGGGCCTCCAGCCACCCCTACCTGAGCTTTCCAGCCAATAGAGATCTGAATTCCCCCTGGGACTGCGCTCTTAGAGGGAGGGGTGGGCCACCATATTTGATGTTTGGGTGACTTAGCTGTTCCAGCCTTTGGGCTTCAGAGTGTCTGAAGCAACCAGGGGCTGAAATGGATTCCCAGCACAGCACAGCTGCTATACCAAAACATGGCCAGACTGCTTTTTCTTAAGTAGGTCCTGATCCCATTCCTCCTCGCAGGGAAGGACCTCCCAACTGGGGTCCCCAGCCACTTCCTACAGGTGCCTTTGGGCCCACAACAGGCTTGTACCTCCCTGGGACAAAGCTCCCAAAGGGAGGGACAGGCTGCCATCTTTGCTATCTTACAGCCTTCACTGGTGACATCTCTTGGTTCTGGAAAATCCAAGGCGACTGGAGACTGGAGCAGACCCCAACCATACTGCAGCAGCCCTATGGAAATGTAGCCACAGTGTTACGTGGGTGCCTATTCCCATATCTCCTCACCAGGCAGGTTCTCCAGGCGGGGGCCTCCAGCCACCCCCTGCCAGAGCTATCAAGCCAGAACCAACTCAGCAACTCCCTGCACAGAGCCTCCAGGGGCAACTGATAGCCTCTCAACCATGCCTCTGCAGTGGAACTGCCCTTGCCACCCTCAGACTAATGAATGGGCAAAGACCCTAAGTGCCTTATCCATACCTCCAAGCTGTAGTTGACCCAAGGAGATGAGGCCAGTCCATCTCCTATAGGTCCCACACACCCACCACAGCTCATCAGGGAACCACTGGCTTGAGCCCACAGCACAAACCCTCCATCTTGGGCTGACTGCACTGAGTGATTACTGACCTGCATCTCCCGGGGGTGGAGCCCCTAGGAGACAAGCAAATGACCCTGGCCACCACTACTACTAAGATCTCTTCCTCTGCTGCCTCTAAGCTGGGGAAGGAACATAAACACTGAGATCTCCCCAGAGCTGCAGTGGGCAGCCCAGGAGTGTCAAGTCATGAACTACAGCCAGCACTCAAGAAGGAGAGGAACCCACACTTTCAGAGCACTGAGAGGGAACACAGCTGCAACTGTTAGGAAACATAGGGGAGCCATACAACTAAGCAAAATTCTATCAACTGACCAAGAATCCCAATTACCACCTGCTGGCTCACACTCTAAAGCTCCAACACCAAAAATACCTCACTAACATACCCCCCTCTGAAACCAGAGACAAGAAGTCAGCTTCAAATAAAGACCCTATGCAAAACCTTGGCCCAGTAGAAAAATCCAGAAAAGAAGTCTATTGTCTGTACTCAATCTACACTGCAGTTAAAGGAACACTCACAATGCAGAGATGAGAAAGAACCATTGCAAAAACTCCAGTAACTCAAATGGCCAGAGTGTCATACGTCCTCCATACGACCACACCAGTTCTCCAACAAGAGTTTTTAACCTGGCCAAACTGGCTGGAATGACAGAAATTGAATTCTGAATATGGATAGGAAGAAAAATAGGAACAAGGATATGGCAAAACCAAATTCAAGGAAAATAAGAATTAACAATAAAGTGATACAGGAGCGGAAGAACAAAATAGCTAGTATAAAAAAAGAATCTACTGAGTCTGACAGAACTGAATAACACAATACAAGAATTTCACAATGCAATCACAAATATTAACAGCAGAATAAACCAAGCTGAGGAAAGAATCTCAAAACTTGAAGACTGGTTCTCTGAAATAAGACAGACAGAAAAAAACAAAGAAAAAAGAATAAAAAGGAATGAACAAAACCTCTGAGATGTATGGGATTATGTAAAGAGGCCAAATCTATGAATCACTGGCATTCCTGAAAGGGAGTGGAAGAAAGAAAAACAACTTGGAAAATATATTTCAGAATATCATCCATGAAAACTTCCCCAACTTTGTTCCTGAAATATTCTACACAAGAAGACCATCCCAAAGACACATTATCATCAGATTTTCCAAGGTCAGAATGAAAGAACGAATGTTAAAGGCAGCTAGAGAGAATGGGCAGGTCACCTAAAAAGGGATCCCCATCAGGCTAACAGCAGACCTCTCAGCTGGAACCGTACAAGCCAAAGGAGATTGGGGGCCTATATTCAACATTCTTAAAGAAAAAAACTTCAACCAATCATTTCATATCCAGCCAAACTAAGCTTCCTTAGTGAAGGAGAAATAACATCATTTTCTGATAAGCAAATGTTGAGGGACTTCATTACCACCAGACCTGCCTTACAAGAGATCCTGAAAGGAGAACTAAATATAGAAAGGAAAGACCACTACCAGCTAATACAAAAACACACTTAAACACACAGCCAGTGTCACTGTAAAGCAACCACACAAATAAGCCAACATAATGACCAGCCAACAGCACAATGACAGGATCCAATCCACACATATAAATACGAACATTGAATGTAAACAGGCTAAATGCCCCACTTAAAAGGCACAGAGTGTGGGAGCTGCTGTGGCTCAGGCTGGTTGCCCTGGCACTCGGGGAGGTGAGGCTACAAGTTCGAGGCCAGCCTGGTCAACATTGATTAAAAAAAAAAAAAGGCACAGAGTGGCAAGCTGGATAAAAAAAGTAAGACCCAATGGTATGCTGTCTTCAAGAGACCCATCTCACATGTAATGACACTCATGGGCTCAAAATATTAATAAAGGGATGAAGAAAAATCTACCAAGGAAACAGAAAACATAAAAAAGCAGGGTTTACAATCCTGATTTCAGACAAAACAGATTTCAAACCAACAAAGATCAAAAAAGACAAGCAAGTGCATTACATAATGGTAAAGGGTTCAATTCAACAAGAAGACCTAATTATCCTAAATATATATGCCCCCAATGCAGGAGCACCCAGATTCATAAAGCAAGTTCTTTTTTTTTTTTTTTTTTTTTTTTTTGAGACGGAGTCTCGCTCTGTCGCCCAGGCTGGAGTGCAGTGGCGGGATCTCGGCTCACTGCAAGCTCCGCCTCCCGGGTTCACGCCATTCTCCTGCCTCAGCCTCCCAAGTAGCTGGGACTACAGGCGCCCGCCACTACGCCCGGCTAATTTTTTGTATTTTTTTTTTAGTAGAGACGGGGTTTCACCGTTTTAGCCGGGATGGTCTCGATCTCCTGACCTCGTGATCCGCCCGCCTCGGCCTCCCAAAGTGCTGGGATTACAGGCGTGAGCCACTGCGCCCGGCCAAAGCAAGTTCTTAGACACCTACAAAGAGACATAGACTCCCAAAAAATAATAGTGGGGGACTTCAACATTCCACTGACAGTATTAGATCATCGAGGCAGAAAATTAACAAAGATATTCAGGACCTAAACTCAGCATTGGACCAAATGGATCCGATAGACTTTTACAGAAGTCTCCATCCAAAAACAACACAATATACATTCTTCTAATTGTCACATGGCACATACTCCAAAAATGACCACATAATTGGACATTAAACAGTCCTCAACTAATGTAAAAAAACTGAAATCATACCAAACACACTCTGAGACCACAGTGCAATAAAAATAGAAGTCAACACAATGAAAATCACTCAATTACACGGAAATTACCATACAATTACCACAAATTAAACAACCTATCCTGAATGACTTTTGGGTAAGTAATGAAATTAAAGCAGAAATAAAGAAGTTCTTTGAAAATAATGAGAACAAACATAAAACATACCAGAATCTCTGGGACACAGCTAAAACAGTGTTAAGAGGGAAATTTATAGCACTAAGTGCCCACATCAAAAAGGTAGGAAGATCTCAAGTTAACAATCTAACTTCACAATTGAAGAAATTAAAGAGGCAAGAACAAATCAACCCCAAAGCTAGCAGAAGATGAGAAATAACAAAAAATCAGAGCTGAACTGAAAAAAATCGAGACATAAAAAGCTATTCAAAAGATCAATGAATCCAGGAATTGGTTTTTTGAAAAAATTAATAAAACAGGCTACTAGCTAGACTAATTAAGAAGAAAAGAGAGAAAATCCAAATAAACATAATTAGAAATGACAAAGGGGTTACTACTTACCCCACAGAAATAAAAGCAACCATCAGAAACTACTATGAACAACTCTATACATACAAACTAGAAAACCTAGAAGACATGGATAAATTCCTGGATACATACACCCTCCCAGGACAGAGCCAGGAAGAAACTGATTCCCTGAACAGACCAATAACAAGTTCCAAAATTGAATCAGTAATAAATAGCCTACCGGCCAGAAAAAAAAAAACCTCAGGACCTGGTGGATTCACAACTGAATTCTATCAGATGTACAAAGAAGAGCTGGTACCATTCCTACAGAAACTATTCCAAAAAATTACAGAGGAAGGACTTCTCAACTCATTCTATGAGGCCAGCATCATCTTGATACCAAAACCTGGCAGAGACACAACAAAAGAAGAAAACTTCAGCCCAACATCCTTGATAAACATCAACACAAAAATACTCAACAAAATACTTGCAAGATTCATTCCCAGGATGCAAGATTGGTTCAACATACAAAAATCAATAAATATGATTCATCACACAAGCAGAACTAAAGACAAAAAACACATGATTATCTCAATAGATGCAGAAAAGGCTTTTGATAAAATTCAACGTCCCTTTATGTTAAAAACTCTCAATAAACTAGGTACTGAAGGAACAAACATCAAAATAATAACAGCTATCTATGACAAATCCACAGCCAACATTATCCTGAATGGCAAAAGCTGGAAGCATTCCTCTTGAAAACCAGCACAAGACAAGGATACCATCTCTCACCACTTCTATTCAACGTAGTATTGGAAGTCCTGGTCAAAGCAATCAGGCAAGAGAAAGAAAGGACATCCAAATAGAAAGAGAGGAAGTCAAACTATCTCTGTTTGCAGACAACATGATTCTTTTTCTTTTTTTTTTTTTTTTTTTTTTTTGAGACTGAGTCTCGCTCTGTTGCCCAGGATGGAGTGCAATGGCACAATCTTGGCTCACTGCAAGCTCTGCCTCCTGGGTTCACGCCATTCTTCTGCCTCAGCCTCCGGAGTAGCTGGGACTATAGGCGCCCGCCACCACACCTGGCTAATTTTTTTTGTATTTTTAGTAGAGACGGGGTTTCACCATGTTAGCCAGGATGGTCTCGATCTCCTGACCTCGTGATCCACCCGCCTTAGCCTCCCAAAGTGCTGGGATTACAGGCGTGAGCCACCACTCCCAGCCAACATGATTCTATATCTAGAAAACCTCATAGTCTTGGCCTGTGAAAGCTCCTTCAGCTGATAAATAACTTCAGCAAAACTGCAGGATACAAAATCAATATACAAAAATCACTAGCATTCCTATACACCCACCAAGTAAACTGACAGCAAGATCAGGAAGGCAATCCCATTTATAACTGCCACAAAAAATAAAACAAAATACCTGGGAATACAGCAAACCAGGGAAGTGAAAGATCTCTACAATGAGAATTACAAAACACTGCTCAAAGAAATCAGAGAAGACACAAACAAATGGAAAAACATTCCATGCTTATGGATAGGAAGAATCAGTATCATTAAAATGGCTATATTGCCCAAAGCAACTTACAGATTTAGTGCCATTCCTATCAAACTACTGACAACATTCTTCACAGAACTAGAAAAAAAATATTTTAAAATTTATATGGAACCAAAAAAGAACCCAAATAGCCAAGGCAATCCTAAGCAAAAAGAACAAAGCTGGAGGAATCACATTACTCAACTTCAAACTATACTACAAGGCTACAGTGGCCAAAACAGCATGGTACTGATACAAAAACAGGCACATAGCCCAATGGAACAGAACAGAGATCCCAGAAATGAGGCTGCACATCTACAACCATCTGATCTTCGACAAAGCTGACAAAAGCAATGGGGAAAAGACTCCCTATTCAATAAATGGTGCTGGGACAACTAGCTAGCCATATGCAGAAGATTGAAGCTGGACCCCTTCCTCACACCATATATGAAAATCAACTCAAGATGAACTAAAGACATAAATGTAAAATTCAAAACTAGAAAAACCCTAGAAGACAACCTAGACAATACCATCCTGGATGTAGGAACAGGCAAAGATTTCACAACAAAGACATTGAAAGCAATTGCAACAAAAGCAAAAATGGACAAATGGAACCTAATTAAACATAAGAGCTTCTGCACAGCAAAAGAAACTATCGACAGACAACCTAAAGAATGAGAGAAAATATTTGCAAACTATGCTTCTGACAAAGGTCTAATATCCAGCATGTATAAAGAACTTAAATTTATAAAAGAAAAACAACCCCATTAAAAAGTGGGTAAAAGACATGAACAGACACTTCTCAAAAGAAGAAATAATGCAGCCAACAAGCATATGAAAACAAGCTCAATATCGCTGATCATTAGAAAAATGCAAGTCAAAACCACAATGAGATACCATCTCATACCAGTCAGAATGACTATTATTAAAAAGTCAAAAATATAACAGATGCTGGTGGGGAGGTTGCAGAGAAAACCCTTATACACTGTTGGTGGGAGTGTAAATTAGTTCAACCATTGTGGACAGCAGTATAGCAATTCCTTAAAGAGCTAAAAGCAGAACTACCATTTGACCCAGCAATCTCATTACTGGGTATATACCCAGAGGAATATAAAGCATTCTACATGCAAATGTGTATGCAAAGACATACACATGCAAATGTTCATTGCAACACTGTTCACAATAGCAAAGACATGAAATCAACCTAAATGCCCATGAATGACAGACTGGATTTTAAAAAATGTTGTACATATACACCACTGAATATTATGCAGCCATAAAAAAGAATGAGATCATGTTTTTTTGCGGGAACATGAATGGGGCTGGAGGCTATTATCCTTAGCAAACTAATGCAGGAATAGAAAACCAAACACTGCATGTTTCCACTTATAACTGGGAGCTGAATGATAAAAATTTATGAACACAAAGAAGAAAACAACAGACACTAGGGTCTACTTGAGCGGGGAGGGTGGGAGGCGGGAGAGAAGCAGGAAAAATAACTATTGGGTATTGAGCTTAATACCTGGGTGATGTAATAATATGTACAACTAACCCCCATGACACGTGTTTACCTATGTAATAAACCCTGACATGTATCCCCAAACCTAAAATAAAAACTAAAAATAAACCAACAAAACAAATGGAAAAATAAAACTGCTTATCCTTTGAGTCCCAGCTCAAATGCCACCTTCTCTGTGAAACCTTTCTTAATTCTTGTAGGCAGAATTAATCCCTCCCTCCATTTTGCTCTTAGAATCTTGTACAGTTTCTGTATAGCCCTTTTCATATGTATGACAGTTGTTTTTGAATTCTGTCTCTCCTGTGACATTAGGACCTTAAAGCAGGGTTGTTAGAATGATGTGAAACAAATTTGGTTTAAACAAGTCTATCATGCCAGCTGGCCCTGTCAAGAGACTATCAACAGCTTCTCCTGCTGAGCTGAGATACCAGCAAAGCTAATGAGAGTATTTAGTTCAAAGCAGATGTCCCCAGAAGCTGATAGTCAAGGAAAGGCTAGCTCAATCCCCAGCACTGCTCCATATAGTAAATCTTTACTGATCGATTGAATAGGATTGTCATTCAACAATAATTCAATCACTTGTGTACAGTTGACCCTTGAACAACATGGTTTTGAACTGCATGGGTCCATTTTACACAGACTTTTTTCAATATACTG